>NC_000005.10:93140110-93443140 GCF_000001405.40 Homo sapiens
CATCCTTGGAGCTGAGAATCGAGTCAGCTCTACTCAAATCACAGGAACTGGTTGTGAGAAGGGGAATAGCCCCCAAATAAAATGGAAGTGGGATAAATGGATTATGCAGAGTTCAAAAAGCAACAAATACCTGTTATGAGTAAGAACAACGCAGTCCTGTTCATCAAGGAACCTAGAAGTAATGCCAGTTCTACCACAGTTGTTCAGCCTTGGGAACGTCACTGCTGGGCTTTTGAGATTTTTTTGGCTCACTCACTGTTTTAGCCTCCTAATCCATAGGAATCCCTTTCCAGTCTCTTCTGCACTGTTCCCAGGATAAGGTCCAAAATCCTGAATAGAGCCCTACATGAGCAGCCTTGGTTTACCTCTACAGCCTCATCTCAAAACTCACTCTGAGTGGCACTCTCAGCTCAAACCACCCAGGTCCTTTGTTAATTTCTTAAACAGGTCATGATCTTCCTGTAACAGGGCCTTTGCACACTCTCTACCTATTCCCTAGACAGCTCTCCTTTCTCCTATTTGCTCAGTGAAGCCCTGTTCAACCTTCAGATATTATTCAAGCATTATTTCCACAAAGAAGTTTTCCTAACACCACTCCTATTGGGGTCACACTCTCCTATAATACTCTCTCATAAAGCATATCATTTAATAACATTCATCATAATTTTTATTTTATACATATTTTTGTGATAAGTTGATTAATGTTTTCATCCCCCACTAAAGTATAAGCTCCGTGAGGAATAGATCTATTTTTGCTTACCACTATATCCCTGTGCCTAGCACATAGTCAATACTGAATAAAGATCTATAGACTAAATGAAGGAATAAATAAAGACACTTTATGACAATGAGTCTCTGAAGTAATCTCTTTCATCTCTGAAGTAATAGGGTTAAACCAAAAGATTTCGAACCGTCAATTCCAGCTCTAAAATTCTCTGATTCTAATTAAACTCTATAAATGCTTCATATTATTAAATGGTTAAATGTTTTTGAATAATACTTCTGAAGAAACCAGTAAATAAATATGCTTATTTAGCCAGTGGATGTTATAAGTCAATAAATTAAGTTAGTGAAATATTGCCATCCAAATTATAACAACCAGTTCTCCATTTCCATTGATTTAGAATTAAACAAATATCCTCTACCCTCATATAAGACCATATAAGGTAGTTTAAAATCACTGTACGAGTGGTGATTAACAAAATGAACTTTTCTGGAGGACTAAGGCCAGGGCTAGCAATATTATGAGGTAAATAAACTTTGTCATCCACACATTTCCTTTTGTTTTCCATTTCTCTTATTTGGGGGCCATGCACACCCCACTATCTGAGATAAAATGCTCAGTGTCTTCTTTCTCCCCACTGGTTATCCCTATATTAGATCCCCCACACCCACATAAGACCTGCATAATACCCCAACACATACACTGTGATTCACTGTCTTCTAATTCTCCATTAAAACTTACCTGCACTTGCCTCTATTTCTTCAGAGCCCTGATCTTTACTGGGTGTCAATGGTTGTAATGGGTTATTAACAAGAAAACTCATCCATTCTAATATGTTACGTAGTTAATTAATGCTACCTCCCTCAAGATAATAGGGCATATGTCCGCTTAAAGGCTTTTAAGAAATGATAGTAATGGTGGAAATTTCAGGCACCACTGCAGACTGATGAGGGAGATGGATTTTAAAGCATGGGGGCCTCTCATTGATTCTCAAGTTATTCCATGCAGGCAGCTGCCGACTCTGCCCATGAGTAAGCCAGTCTCTCTCTGGAGAACTTTATAAACAGCATGAATTTCACTGTTTGACATGGGTAAAGCATAGTTCTCCCAGCAAATAACCTCTTTTAAGGTATCATCTGTTTATGAAGCTGTGGTTTAGATGTCCTCAAGACTAGGATGATACTTCCAGCTTCAAGATTGAACAGGTCAGTCTGCCCTGGGAAACAGATGAATTTGAAAGTATCTTTAAGTAGCTAGCTGATTTACTTATCATTTTCATTTTGGATTCCTATTCAAGCTATATACTGCTAGAAACGAAAGAGAAAGCTGAAATCTCATTGTGTGCCCTGCTCTCCCAGAACATAATTTTTCCCTCCATCTGTGAATATCCTGTTGATATCAGGGGGAGTCACCACGTGCAGAGAGGGGAGACACATGCCAGGAGAGAGAAGCCCATTATGTAGTTGAGAGCTAATTTTGCTTAATCTTCTTGATCTCCATAAAGAGCATTCTAAGACCCCACAGGATTTAAACAAAAAAGATAAAGATGAAGAAGGACTGCTCAAGCAGAGCCAGTGTAATACTTATTTATTAATGTCGTCCATCACAGTGTGTTTACGCAGCTAACCAAAATTTAAAACTGTCTGATTGAGAACAGAGGAGGAAAACAGATTGCTGTATCAAGGCAAAAACACTCACTCCATCGCTATTTACTTATATTTGGAAAATGAAAAGAAATAATATGAGTGCCACATTAAAGACCTCCGTTTCCATTTAAAATGAAAATAATGATATGTAAAAACATAAATCTGTGACCCTAGGTTTATCTTTAAATAGAAAACTCCTCTTGATAGAGAAACTCTCCACACTTAATACGGAATTAATATTAAAGGAGGCTTATCCTTCATTTTCTCCAATTTCTTCTCGGGAGGAAGGAGCTGGAACAGGAGATCTCAAAATGGCAGCAGGAGAAGGAAAGCTCACAGCTTAATGAGACCAACTTGGAGAGTAGACTTATTGTATCAGTAATTCAGCTTTGTAAAATACCGTAAAGGCCTCCCATTCAAGCAAAAGGTAGTGCATTTTGCGGTTGAACTCTTCCAGTGACAAGAAACTCATCACCCCTCAGGCAGCCTACTCTAGTTCTGGATAGCTTAGCACATTAGAAATTTCTCCCTTGTAATATTCTGAAATCTGTGCCCTTGTAATTTTCCTTTATTGCTCCTACTCTGCCCCATGGAGCCAACCACAGAGAATGAATCAAATGTGTTTTGCACAGTATGGGCCCTCAAATATCAGAAGATAGTTTTCTCTGGGCACTACCACCTTTTCTTTCTCAGTGCTTTAATCTGCAGCTTTATAGCTATGAGACCATCGCTGAAAATTTTCCTAACTTCCTGAAGCCTTCTTCCTTCCAGAGACTTATATCATGAAGCCAGACTTACCTTTTTACTAAATTTTGAAATCTGCTCTCTCTTACATGGTCTGCTGGTTTACACGTAAGATTATCTACTTAGGCTAACAATTTTGGATGTTATAAAATGAATAGGCACCTGTCTGGAGAGGAGAAAAATTAGGTCCTTATGTATCTTCGAATCCTCTACAGTGGTCCCCAACCTTTTTGGCACCAGGGACCAGTTTCATGGAAGACAATTTTTCTATGGACTGGGGGATGGTGGTGGGGTAGAGGGGACAGTTTCAGGATGATTCAATTGCTTTACATTTATTGTACACTTTTTTCTATTATTATTATTACTACATTGTAATATATAATGAAATAATTATACAACTCACCATAATGTAGAATCTGTGAGAGCCCTGAGCTTGTTTTCCTGCAACTAAGTGGTGGCAGATCATCAGGCATTAGATTCTCATAAGGAGCACACAACCTAGATCCCTTGCATTCACAATTCACATTAGGGTTCATGCTCCTGTGAGAATCTAATGCCACTGCTGAGCTGACAGGAGACAGAGGTCAGGCAGTAATGTAATTGATGGCGAGCAGCTGTAAATACAGATGTAGCTTTGCTCATTCACCTCCTGCTGTGTAGCCCAGTTCCTAACAGGCCATCAACCTGGGCCCAGGGATTGGAGACCCCTGCCCTATAACACCTGCACCTACTAGCTTTCTTACAAACAAGTGCTTTAAAATGCACTGAGTGAATAAATGAAATAACGAAGAGTCCTTATATTCTAATGTTTGCATAAGGCTTGACATCTTATAACTTTAATTCATTATTTATCACAATAAATTTAAGAGATCAGTGAAAGAGGTATTATTATCCTTATCCTATAAATGAAAATATTACAACCCAGAAATAAGTGCATTTTGAAGAAAATGTTTTTACTGGGATAAAAACAACTTTGGACTTACTCTATATTACTGCAGCATACCTTTATAGGCTCTGAAAAAAACAAGATTTCCATAAAATATATTTGTATTATAAAGTCAAAGTTAATTTATATTTTAGTACACTTCTTGGTTAGAAGGGAAATACCTAAAAGTATTTTTCCTGATGTAATGAAAAAGCCCCAATAACAAACTATGCCTGCATTAAGGAGGCCATTAAAAAAAAAATCTCAATTTTTTTAACAATTAACACTACATTTATAATAAGAAAACACCTCCTTTTTAGATGAGATGTAAGGAGGAATACAAATACAATCTTATTAATCTATTAAATAAACATTTATTGAGAATCTATTGTGTCCAGAATAGCTTAGCATAATAAAGAAAGTCACAAAGAACAAGATGGGGCCCAACCCCAAACAGAAGGATAGCCTAATAGGTATGTGAAATAAAGAGAGAATAAAAACAAATGTATGCTAGTGGGATAAATTTATAAAGAGTGAAGACTTTCCATGGAAAACCTTAAAAGAATTGTGTTGGAGGATGGAGATAAAGTACATTCCAGGTAATTTATATGAACTGCTCGGCCTTAGATAAACCGTATAAGGGGATCCAGTATGTCTTGTGCTCCCTTCATTTCCCCTCTCTCATCTCTTTCAGACAACCTTGATCAGACCTAACTTCTTGCTGCCCAAGGTCCATTGGTGGAAGACAATGAAGGAAGAAAAACTTATTTCAAAGTAGCAGAGACTTCTTTTATTACTGCTTCCAGCAAATTTAGAAACTTGCGGATTTATGAACCTAATTACTGTGACAAAGGATTCCTATCTCATTAGCAACCTGCAGAGTCCACTGGGAGCTTTTCTGGGTGCCCGGGACTTCCTGCCGCCCGTCCTCCCGATCCGCCCGATGCCCATGCTCCTCCTCCAGTTCTGTGCGTGAGCTGCCTGTCTGGCAATGCGCCCCACTCTGCCACTGCTCCACTCTGCCTCTGCTCAATGCGCCCCGCTCTGCTACTGCTCAATGCACCCCGCTCTGCTACTGCTCAATGCGCCCCACTCTGCCACTGCTCAACGCGCCCCACTCTGCGTCTGCTCAGTGTGCCCCACTCTGCCACTGCTCAACGCGCCTCACTCTGCCATTGCTCCACTCTGCCTCTGCTCAATGCGCCCCACTCTGCCACTGCTCAGTGCGCCCCAGTCTGCCTCTGCTCTCCCTTGTACATCCCACTGACACAGGGAGAAAACCCCCTTCCAGCTGTGCTCAGGCACAAAGAAACCCTTCATAGGCGACATCCATCCATCCAATCACTCCCTCAGTTAAATGGCCCCAGTAAGGGAGATCTTCGTAAGGGCCACCTACTCATCCTATCACTTACTGAACTACTTTTCAACCTTCACTTCTTGTCCGATGATCTCAAATCCTTTACCTTTTAGTCAATGTGTGTGCTTTACAATTCTTAAATTCTATTTGGTGTTTTTCTATATCTCAGTGAAATTTTTCTGAGTCTAATTTGAAATTCAAACCTGGACCCAGTGTTCTCTCAAAATCCCTACTAGTACTATGTATTCATGATGAATTTTTTTTCATTCCTACAAATAAAAGGATTTCCATAAACTTCCCCACAGTCTACAAATATTTCATGAGTGATGCATGCCAAAATGAGACTCTCACTCTGGTAAATACTGACTTGGCATACATGCCATCAAAGCATTTGCAGATTGATCTCTGTTAGATACTCACGGCCTGGTGGACTGATAACTGCAGCTGTAGGGAAGAGGGGAGGGAATGTTAGGCTTACTCCCAGCTCCCCTGCATACACTCAGTGTTCCTGAATGAGCTAGCAAACCTCATATGACAATTTGTGGTAACAAAATTGTGATCTTGACACAGCTCCTAGAACAACAGAGTACTGAATAACAACAAAAATTGCAGTGAGTGCCATCACCGTGAAATGATGATTCATTTGGCAACTGCCATACAATATAACAAAAATATACCCAGATGAAATGAAAGTTACTTCAAATTTATAAAATACAAAAAATCTTTAACTACCTATTCAAACCCCAACATCATATAGTTCTAGGATAGATTATATGATGTACAATGCTCTTCTCAAAGATGGTTTAAAACTTAGGATGTCATGATTCCCTATATTTCAGGAGCTTGCTTTTCCATTCTCAGCTTGACTCTGCTTAAACTGAAAAGGATGGGCTGCAGACCTTGACATATTCTGTGAAACCCTGAAGTAGTTGCATCCCCATCTGCTGTTTTTTTGAGCAGCATATCACAGACAGATCTGATGTCCACAGTCACCCCTCCCATTCATGTGCTCCATTTGTCAGCTTTCTCCAATGGCTCACATTTTGCTTCTAGCTTGTCTTAGTCTGTTTTCTGTTGCTATAACAGAATACCACAGGCTACGTAATTTATGAAGAAAAGAGACTTACCTGGCTCACAGTTGTACAGGCTGGGAAGTCTAAGATTGAGGGGCCTCATCTGGTAAGTGTCTTCTTGCCACGTCATAACATGGCAGAAGGGTAAGTAAGCACCAAGACCAGAGAGAAAGGGGCTAATCTTTCAAGATAATGCACCCACTCCTGTATTGATAGCATTGATCCACTCATGAAAACAGAGTCCTCATGACCTAATCACCTCTTAAAGGTCCCAACTCTCAACACTGTTAAAATGGCAATTAAGTTTCAACATGAGTTTTGGAGGAGACATACAGACCATAGGATAGCCTTTCACCTGTCAGTCCCTGATTACAGAGATTCCCATTCTGTCCCACGAAACTTCTGTGGACCTCTGGGCCCTATTTTCCTTTAGGTATCATCTTTTCAATGAGTCTCTATACCCTACATCAGAGTTTATAATTTCCAGAGCACCCACTTACTCTAGAGGAATATTTTTAAAGATCTGAAGAGTTTGTGTCTGTTTCTACTCAACCTTATAGTAGTCTATCAATTTATTAGGTCCTGGGTAAAAAAAAAAAAATTAGAAACCAATGCACAATGCTAATAACTGTGAGATAACTTAATAGATATAAATGTTTCACAAAGGTGTTGCATAAGAAGAGGCCCATTAAGTAGATGTGTGAATCTGGAAGAACAGAAAGGGTAATTCTGTTTAATAAGATGTTTCCAGCATTATCTTACTAATTTGCTAAGGAGCAGGTACAGGCCATACAGCACTTATAAAGTAATTAGAAATCCTTGATAATTGTTTTTTTAATTAACAACAAAATT
This sequence comes from Homo sapiens, assembly GCF_000001405.40. NCBI lineage: Eukaryota > Metazoa > Chordata > Mammalia > Primates > Hominidae > Homo > Homo sapiens. The sequence goes on from NC_000005.10 coordinate 93,147,432, forward strand.
TGAAGGAAAAAAAACCTGATATCCATTCCCACTTCTCTTCTGGATTAATTGTATTAGATTCAGGAAAAGCAGTTTATGCACAAGAGATTTTTTCATTCCAAATTACAGGGTGAAGAGGAGACTATTGGATACTCATGTGATTTATGAAAGCAGAGGGTCCGCTTATTTCTACTCCTTTTAATGTTACAAGAAAACCTGCTGATCATTTCTGACAAACTTTTGGTCTCTTATTAGGGGAGAGAAGATCTCACTGTAAACACTTACTTTCCCCTTAGCCCTTAATATCATGTTCCATCCTCAATTATTGAAGGTTACTGAGTCACATAAGTCCAACAAAGAGAATTTTGATCATCAGCAGTGATGACAAGGCCATCAGCATAAATATAATGAGCCCTGCATGGTCTACAGAAAGCAAATAAGAATATTACTGTGATAAATCTAGGCGCTTCATACTGTAAGCGAATGACTGATCACTCAGCTAGAATTGCCTCCCCATGGATTTAGGCTTCTATTTTATTTCATGTCAAGCATTATGCCTACTTCTATGTTCCTCTAAGTCAAGATCAAATATCCCTTCCAGTGAAAGAAAAAGTGATGATAGGTGTTCCTGCCAAAATTGAGTCCATCCTTTTCATTAGAATCTTACCAAATTTTAAAGCTTACAATTTAAAATTCCAGTCATCTCCTGAAAATCAGTTTTCTCTAAGAATTTCACCTGCTGCTTGGCTTGAGGTGCATCTGTGTAAGTTTTTATCTTCTGTATTCTAGAATAAAAAAGAATGCCATTTTTATTTTATTCCCTTCTACGCCTAGGAATTGAGATTGTGTTCTGAGGTGGAATGAAGGATACAGGAAAGACCCTGATCTGTTGCATACATTAAAAAGGCAATTTGGGGAAGTGTAAAATGTCCAAATTGTGTCATTTCTGGCCTCTTTTATGGCCACTGAAGGAGATGGAAGACATTGTCACACCGAAAACCAGTCATTCAAAAATTAAAAATAAACGTTTAGCTAGGTGACCATACTTTCTTGTTTGCACAGGGACAGTCTCGGCTAGTGCCTGTGGTCAGGCATAATTATTAAAAGTGCCATTTCTCACCTTCAAAAGTGTCCCAGTTTATGGCTAGCCATATATAGAAAGCTGAAACTGGATCCCTTCCTTACACCTTATACAAAAATTAATTCAAGATGGATTAAAGACTTAAACGTTAGACCTCAAACCATAAAAACCCTAGAAGAAAACCTAGGCATTACCATTCAGGACATAGGCACGGGCAAGGACTTCATGTCTAAAACACCAAAAGCAATGGCAACAAAAGACAAAATTGACAAATGGGATCTAATTAAACTAAAGAGCTTCTGCACAGCAAAAGAAACTACCATCAGAGTGAACAGGCAACCTACAAAATGGGAGAAAATTTTCACAACCTACTCATCTGACAAAGGGCTAATATCCAGAATCTACAATGAACTCAAACAAATTTACAAGAAAAAAACAAACAACCCCATCAAAAAGTGGGTGAAGGATATGAACAGACACTTCTCAAAAGAAGACATTTATGCAGCCAAAAAACACATGAAAAAATGCTCATCATCACTGGCCATCAGAGAAATGCAAATCAAAACCACAATGAGATACCATCTCACACCAGTTAGAATGGCAATCATTAAAAAGTCAGGAAACAACCGGTGCTGGAGAGGATGTGGAGAAATAGGAACACTTTTACACTGTTGGTGGGACTGTAAACTAGTTCAACCATTGTGGAAGTCAGTGTGGCGATTCCTCAGGGATCTAGAACTAGAAATACCATTTGACCCAGCCATCCCATTACTGGGTATATACCCAAAGGATTATAAATCATGCTGCTATAAAGACACATACACACGTATGTTTACTGCGGCACTATTCACAATAGCAAAGACTTGGAACCAACCCAAATGTCCAAAAATGATAGATTGGATTAAGAAAATGTGGCACATATACACCATGGAATACTATGCAGCCATAAAAAATGATGAGTTCATGTCCTTTGTAGGGACATGGATGAAATTGGAAATCATCATTCTCAGTAAACTATGGCAAGAACAAAAAACCAAACACCACATGTTCTCACTCATAGGTGGGAATTGAACAGTGAGAACACATGGACACAGGAAGGGGAACATCACACTCTGGGGACTGTTGTGGGGTGGGGGGAGGGGGTAGGGATAGCATGAGGAGATATACCTAATGCTAAATGACGAGTTATTGGGTGCAGCACACCAGCATGGCACATGTATACATATGTAACTAACCTGCACATTGTGCACATGTACCCTAAAACTTAAAGTATAATAATAATTTTTAAAAAGTGTCCCAGTTTAGACAATAAATTACATGGTGATCCTACTTACAACCAAGTTGGAAGAGAGAATTCTTCAAGCTTCCTAAAAGTAATCTTCCAGGTAAATATGAGGTTTCTACTGGTACTCAACCTAAAAGAGAAAATATAATACTTCAGGGATTAGGGTCTAATTACATCTATCTTTCTGCAGGTTTTTATTTTTAAAAACCTCATCTTTATGATTAAATGTAGATATCATCCCCTATGACGAGGATGGACTTTTTTAAGTGTTCAAACCAACTAACAATCAGCTAACTAATTTAACAATCTAACTAACTAAATGATAGAGATTGAAAAATCACAAGACAGCTTACCTGTTTTCACCAATGTGCCTAGACCCAGGGGATTTGAATAACTGCCTCACATTCATTTATTCATTCAACAGGTATTCAATAAGTATGAAGAACTGTACTAAGTGTTTTCGGGCATAGAAATCAAATCAGATTCAGACACTGCCCTCATGGACTTTATAGTCTTGTAGATAAGATAAGAAACATATATGATAAATGTCCACAGGAAAGGAGACTACACAGTACTAATTGAGTCTAGTGGGAAAAAAAGATGACATTCTTATCAGGGGACCTGGGATATATACTGACATAACCATTCTGGTTGTTTAAGTTTTGAAATACTTCCCAAGCAGTTGATAAAAAGAAATTCTCCAAGCCACCTTATGGTGTCCCCAAGTCACTTATTTAGGCCCCCAGGTCATCTTGTGGTGCCCCAACATGAGCCACAGCAGCAGGTGAACAAGTCCAGGAGCATTTCTGGTGAAAATAAGGATGGTCCAAATAGCTGCAGAGTAGACTGAGACAGCTGCTTGGGCAGTGGAGACGACGCAGGTTGGAAAGGTGAAGTACCCGTACACTGCTCAGGAACAGCCCAGTGTCCATAGGCCTGCAGAGCAGTGGCATTGGTATCAACATTGTCAGCAGGAGCCTGGCAATGGGCTGTCTAGATTGGTTCATCTGAGAAATGCTGGTGTTCTGATGCATCCCCAGTCAAAGCATAGACAGCACACACAGTCACCTCTAGCTGCAACAAAACACCAAGCTCCAGGGGACCTGGTGACTCTTTCATTCTATTCCCTATGGAAACACATTGACATGACTGTAATACAGCATTATTCTCTTGATTTTTACTAAGGGTCAGCATAAGAAATGACAGTATGAATACATTTTCCATATCTTCTTTAAAGGCCACTATTAAAGAGAAATTGATTGAAAATGAAAGTGAAGTGTCTTGAAGAAGATGGCCTATAAGCCTGACAGTGTGAACAAAAAAAATAAGGCTAAAAAATATAATCAGAAAAAGCTGGCCTCTGTGAGGTTAAAATAATTCTTTGGCCCCTCACTATAAAAATACTTTCAATATTTTCTTTTATTTTAGTAATTCATGGTTAGGTTCTTGTTTATTTCCAGGAACATTTTCTTCTTACCAACTGGTATATATCCTTTTATTAGAAAATGAATACTACATGACTCATGGAATTTCTTTATTGGCCTTTGTGACCCCCACAGGAACTAAATTTAATGTGCAACTGTAGAAAATATCCCTAGCTTAGATTTCAGATCTAATGATCTCCTCTGTTCCTACATATGGCCCTTAATATTTTAGCCTTATGTTAACATCTTATTGTATATGTGTAACCCATATCAAATTCTCCCAAAATAGGAGACTTACATCAAGTAACAGGTATATTTATGGATATGTTTTATAAAATATATAATCTTTTGAAATTTTAGACAGAAATTTCAAGAAAGTATTAAATAGACGAAGTGTTCATCTAAACTCTGTGTCCTTTGTGGGTAGCGTCATAATACTCCACCCTTTCTTGAGTGCTTACAACAATTCTTAGCTCGTATTTGTTGAATAACAAAATGAATACTGCATTAAGAAAGTATTATCGTATTATTCTCAAGATCATAATGGAGGTCAAACACCACCATAATGATGTCAAAATCCCTTCATTTTCTGAACTAAATGTGTAACAAACTTGCTGAAAGTATATTAATCATCATTTGTGACCAGGAAATGTTTTTTAATTATTTGGATATTTTGTGGTATTCGATATAGCAGGGATTTTAGCTGGAATGCAACTTAAAGAAAATCCTGTCTGCAACCGTAATGCAAAACTTTCCACTTAGCAGAACACCCAGTATATCTGCCTCTCAAGGAGTCCATTCATTTTCAGTTTCCAGCGTTGAGGTCCCCCTCTGGAACTATAGCAAATTAAGAGGTGTGTGATTCTTGAAGCTTTGTCTCTTTTACATTAATAAAGACTAATCATGTTTAAACATGTTAGCACGGCAAGTCCGGGGATGTGGGATAGGATGCCAGTTCTAAAGTGAAATTAGTAGTGTGAAGAAAGCTATGTGAAAAGTCGTGGAGAGAAATTGATTGAAAATGAAAGTGAAGTGTCTTGAAGAAGATGGCCTATAAGCCTGACAGTGTGAACTAAAAAACTAAGGTTAAAAAATATAATCAAAAAAACCTGGCCTCTGTGAGATTAAAATAACTCTTTGGCCCCTCACTATAAAACAACTGCATTAAAAGGAGAAAAAATTATACCCATAATATGCATGTTGCACAGAAGATACCTTTCAGAAAGGAGTCATGAGCAGAAAATTTTCTGGGTATAAGAAAACAAATGAAGAAGGAAAAAAATGAGCTTGCTCTTTACAACCAATGAAAACTTTCCTTTCTCTCTCTCTCTCTCTCTCTCCCCCTTCTCCCCTCCCTCCCTCTGAAATATACATACACTTGTTAAGCATTGTGAGCAGTTCACAAGCTACACAGTGAGTGAGAATCACTGCCTTAGGGTAAGTTGTTCTTACAAATAAGAAGTCAGGACCTCTGAGGCCCATATTCATTTTGCCTAATTTCTTCATGCTAGGTAGGACTTCTATAGTTAAATATTTTTCTTCTCATGTGATATTCAACTACAGATCAAACATTTGGGGTCATTTTGCATTAATGCAAAGTTTCATCATGGTGTACCAATTTCAGGTAGTTAAGTCAATAATCATAAGGAAGAGGAGAAAGAGAAAAAATAAATTATTGTATGCTTGCTGTGTGCTAGGAGCTTTCTGCATATTATCCCATAGGAGGCTCATGTCACTGAAGACAGAATTTTTGTTAATCCCTTTTATACATACGTAATGAATTGAGAGAAAAAGGTCAAATCTGCATTTGTGGCTTCAAGTGTGGCCATGGAGAGCCAGGGCTTAGTTTATCAAAAAGTAGGCATTAGTAGCTCACAGATTGCATTTTTGTAGCTCTTTACTCCAAACCAACTTTGCAGAAGGGTTCTCACCCACCTTACTGTCCCTAGCAATGCAGCTGCTTCCTTCCGTTCACTTAATTGATCATTTTTAATAGAAGGAAACAGATAATTAACTAATCAGGCAAGACATCTATTAGTGCAGACAGGCTTGTAGCTAAGTATTCAATTTATTTCAGAATGTCTGTAAAAGTGTTACATATTGTCAAAACCTTGCATATTATAAATAATGCCACCTTTAGCTAGGGGTGTATTTCTTACCTCTAGAGTCTTATGAAGTCATTCCTCTAATGGAGAAAGAGAGCTCCCGGCATTCTTAAAGGACGTACCAGTGTTGCAGAGGATGCTAGGTATTAAGTGAAAGGGAGAAGCATATCCTAATTCCTTTTCATCCCCTCCTCCCTCTACCCATGGAACAACTGACAAGCTGAATAGCTTATGGGGGTGAGTTGATCAGTAGGAGTGAGTGAAGAAGGCTAAGGCAGACAATTCTCCCAAATTAGTCCGCTGCCAGTCTTGGTTCACTGGCACTTTGACACCAATGTTAGGATGCGAGTTTATTGCAGTGGCACTTTGGCAGGATACCATTTCACGAGGAGCTTCCAGCTCAGAAAAGAAGAACAGGACTGTTATTACTGGATGCTTTAAATTCATGGGCCTTGCAAATGGAGAGATGTGTTTGTCAAGAAGTCCACATTTAAACAAATACTTGATGTTGACTTTTTGTGTGGGGGAAACTCACTTAACCCTCTGAGATCTCACATTTCGGCTAAGAAAGAGCAGTGGTTAGCTGGGTTCTATAGAAGGAATGATAAGCATTATAAATTCTCTTCCAAAATCCAAATTTACTCAAGAATGCACAACAGTAATGAACATTTATAAATGCCAAGAATAAAGCATATAGTGAGAAAGGTGAGGTTAGATTGTACCTATTTGTCATAGGATTTCACTGGAAGCCTTTTAAGTAAATTCCTCCAGTTCTAACAGATAATTTGTAGGTTGACACAAGTGCTGTGATGTGTTGCAGATGCTATAAGCCCTCTAATGCTGAGAGTGTGAGCAAAATCAGCAGTACTCTCCCCCCATTCCCTTTTTTAAGTTGTAAGCAGACAACCATGTTCCATAGGTCACAAAGTGTAAAGGTTAAACCTGCAGGATGTAAAGTGAGGAAACCAATTCACATGTATTATCTGAGAAATTAGTCTCACTGCTTTAGAGTCATAGGCTTTGAAAGTAAGGAGCTGACTCTTAATCAAATTCAACTTAGCAAAATTAACCTAAGACACATGTAATGATGACTGCTATTGAGTGATAATTAGCCATAAATGGAAAGTAATTCACAATACGATTAAAAGTTGTATTACTGTTTATTATCATAAAATATCTTTTCCCGTGATTCTTCCAGTATTTGAAATCAACATGAATGTAACCATACAGTTCTCAAACTTTGCACCAAAGCACCTCAGCATGCCACAATGAATTCATGATAAGATATTTTTGAATTTCAGAGGGAAACACAGAGATATTGAATATCTGTCAAATACTCCATAAACTACCAGCTTTGAGTTATTCACAGTGTCATTACTGATTCCTAGATTCCTTTTGGTGACATCATGCCTATGCAAAACTAGGTTCTCAGCAGTTACTATGAGCAGGCACCACATGAAAATCAATGTAGAATGTGAAACAGGATCTAAGGCTTGCAACGTCTCATCTGATTTCAAAGTTTGAGAAGCTGCATGAAGCCCAATAAGCACACACACCCCATTTGTATGTCATACTAGATAAGAGTCAAACAAAAATATATTTTTTCAATTGATGTGTAATTTTTTAAATGGCCAATAAGTTGTTAGGACATAAACACTCAAGTGTTTTTGGACCCAACCACTTAATTGAACTGTTACTTATTTATTTTGGCCTAGGAATGCTGTGAGAAAAAAATTTAAACACTAAGAACACGGTGAGCAAAAAAAAGTTTGAGAAGCTCTGAAGTAAACAGTTTTCCCAAATCTCTCTCTCTCTCTTATCTCTCATGCACGTGCATGACACACATGGGCATACATATCTACACTCTGACCCATAATTTAAAAGGGATTTCTACCTTTTTTTCCATTTAATAGATATTTATCAAGCATCATGTATGTGTTAGGCACTGAATTAGTCTAGATAACACAGAATGAGTGGAACCAATAGTCTCTGCTGTCACAAAGCTTAAGCTCCTGAGAGACAGGCAGTTGACAAACAAGTAAACACCCAAACACAGAACACAAACAATAAGAAAAGAATAAGAAAGGGTTCTTTCTAGATTTCACTCTCTAACTTCAGGGGCTCCCTTTGCCCCTCACCATGCAACAAAATTATGCTTGGCTTCCCTCCCACAAAACCCTAAGAGAGTCTTAAACCACACATGCCCACTTGCCCACCCTACTGAGGAGTAGGAAACAGCATAATCAACATACAGGATTAGAAGTAGCATCAGAGACAGCTCCAATTAGCTCCAATGAGAAAGAGCTCTGGGTATATACATAGTCTTGAGACAACTGAACAGAGGTGTGCTCAACAGGGAGCTTGGATTAGGCAACAGGAAAAGGAGAAAAGGACCTGGTGGGGACCAGCCTTGTGAAAGGCTACATCCTCAGGCAGGACACCTCTAACTAGTCTGCTACTCTAAGAATCTGTAATTTCAAAGCATGTCACTTCCCACCTAGATGCTTGGAAGGCCAGGAAATAAGATTGACAGAGGATGCCACTGAAAAGAATATGGGAGCCTTGCCTTTTGGTCTAAACCAACTCCTGTTTGCCATCAATTCTCGGACAAACAAAATTGTGCACAAAGTATCTCCCATCCAATGGAAGCTTTTCTCCTACTCCTCCCTACTTTTAGCAGGAAGGAAGCCTAGACACTACCAATGACTAGACTAGTCATGACTAGTATTATTGGATACTACTGCTGTACCCTTTTCCATAGCTCTACATAGAGGTACTTGTGCAGTCTCCTTACCAGAAATAGCCATGCGTAAACAACAATCACCAAACAAATCCCTTGAGTATTTAAGTAACAAGGGGAATTTCAACTAGAAGCAAACTCTACACTTCTATGCATGCATTTTTATTCCAAAAGGATTGTGGATGATGAGAGAGAAAGTAGTGCCAGAACAAACAAAGTGTTAGAGAGAAAAGCAAATGGAGATCTTGCCTCTCCTAATAGAGTGAGATTTCTGGACTAGAATATTTGTCTTCCTTCTCAGACTTGCCTGATATTAGCAGTGATACTTGGAAGAGTCAATCACTCTGGTACCATCACAGGAAGGAAAGTAATTCTAAGTGATAATTTAGAGCCTGTGAAGGATTTTTATGAGACTCCTCCTAACTGAGGAACTCAAGAGAAATCAAATGATCTCCTACCTACGTTTAGCAAATTCAAGTTGGAGAGTATCCTATGCCGTCGGACTTAGAGCTGGGCAACTCACTACATGCTTTCACAGCAAGAGGACTAGAGCAATTTGTCTTACAGAAAGAAAAAGTACAAACAGAAGGACAAGAGGAAAAAAGCAATTTGAAAGGTGGTGCGATGTTCAGCTATCTCAAGATGTGGAGGCGATGCTTCTTGTTGTTTTCTGCCTTGCTGCGAAGACAGCTGTAATTATGGAGTAATTTGCCAGCCTCCTTCAGCTCATGAACCTTCTAGGTAGGAGCCATACTCATTCTCTCATTGACACATGGTGTGCAATAATGTCAGTTGTGTCTCTGCTGTCAGATGCTCTCCGCTGCTGGGGAGTCATCTACCCAGGTGTGTTAGCTTTTTCCATCTGAATCAGAGTAGTCCAGCGCAAAGAAAGCAGGTTTTCAGAAGAAAAACATTAGCACTTGAAGGATTTTTTTTTTTAGAGAAAGAAACGATGTTTTTAAAAAGCATTATCATGTTGTTCAGTACACAATTGGGTACTTAATGGTATGCTGTCTTGTTTTATTCTCTACTGGAATTGCTAAAGTCTAGAACTGGACATGACCTCAGACCTCATCTAGTCCAACCCTTTAATTTTAAAGATTTTAAAGAGAACACCATGGAAAAGTTTTTTGGCAGGGAAATAATCTGAAGACAGATTTTCAGATTCCCAGATTGGTGTTTCACTCTATTCTGTCTGTCTCAGACGTTTTAGAAGACAGTAAGTTTGGGATTGCCAATATGCCTATATCTTCATAATAATTCTCAAATACTTACCCCCAATGAATTTCCAAGGTTTTTTCTTTACATTTTTCTTGTAAGTCTAAGAAGGATAAGTTGTAAGAAAGAGAGAAATCCAGACAGAAAAAAATTATGGTATGAAGACTTTAGATATTTTTTAAATTAGTTCTAATAATAGCAGCAAGTATTTAATGCTTACTCTATCCCAGATACTGGAGATGAACAGGTGGGCAAAAGTATACAGTGATCCTGTGATCAAAGAGCTTAAACCTAGTGGAGGAGTCATACATTAATTTAAAAGAACAGAAACCCCAGCACTTTGGGAGGTCGAGGTGGGTGAATCACGAGGTCAGGAGTTCAAGACCAGCCTGGCCAAGATGGTGAAACCCTGTCTCTACTAAAAATACAAGAATTAGCCAGGCATGGTGGCTGGCACCTGTAATCCCAGCTACTTGGGAGGCTGAGGCAGAGAATTGCTTGAACGCGGGAGGCGGAGGTTACAGTGAGCCAGGATCGCACCACTGCACTCCAGCCTGGGTGACAGAGCAAGATTCCGTCTCAAAAAAAAAAAAAAAAAAAAAAAAAAAAAAAAAAACAGAACAGAAACACATTTATTGAGGGTTTTTAATGTGCCAGAAACACTGAAAGAGTGCTTACTCATTAACTCATATAATCCTAACAAAAAAACTTCAAGATAAATAATATTACCTTTACTAACATCATCCCCATTTTATATATGAGAAAACCAAGTCAGCATGAGTTTAAGTAAGAGCCATAAGGTCTGGCCGGTGAAGGTAGAGAGAGGAGATTTGAACCCAGGGAATCTGAAGCCAGACCCCAGACCTGACTTGCTTAACCACCAATGTCTGCCATGATGATCTATAAAACAGGAAATGTGGCAGGAAATGTTCAATGCCATTAGAGAAGCCCACAATATTTTCTTCTGCCTTTCAAAGAAATAGATATTTAACTTAAAACTATTAACCTTAAATCACGGACCCCTTCGATCTGAGTTAAAAGGAAGAGTGCAATCTATTTGAAAACAGAGGAATGACTACTTCCCATTCTAGTCTCAATTACCACAAGGGACAATAACCCAGATCTAAAAACATTTTATAACACCGGGACAAAACACCTCTCATTTAACTTATGTGGAGCACTCAAAAAAAATCACATGACCTTTGTAATGGGCAAACCACTGTGATGACATAGGCCTTTAGTTACTGGGTGGGCATTACCCTCTGGCCTCTGCATGATGTTAGCAGTCCTACTTCTTGGCACTATGCTGTAAGTTGAAGCATTTTGCTATGAATCTTGCCTTTCTGACTTTGAAAGTAGGGTGACCAATTGTCTCAGATTGCTTGGTACCGAGGTCTTTTCCAGGATGCAGACTGGAAAAACTGGGACAGAACTAAAAACAAGGACAGTCTCAGGCAACCTTGTCTTCCTACTCATGCTTAGCATGGCAGCTGAGTGCATGAGGAATTGATACAGCCCATGTGAGTGGAAAAGATCCAACCCTGCTCATTTCTGGGTAGCCATGTCCGTCTTCATGGACTCCATTGTTGATCATAGCTGATGAAATTAGTGGTTTCTTTACTTAGCACAGTGATAGCTCCTCAGTGAGCTCACCCTCTTCTTCATATGACAAAGCCACAAAAACATCTTGGCTGTCTTGGGCTATAAGATTGCCTTTGCTCCAGATGTGGCTTTCATTTGATCCTCAACGTGGGCATCTTCCCTGTTGCAGGACTCTGTGGCAGGCCACTTTGACCGTCACCCCAGTGACTGTGCTGGTAGCGGGCCAGCTGACAGCCTCAGCAGACTGTGGGGATCTGAGGTCATGTCTCAGGCTTGTGTCTGCCTGAACAAGCCATTCTGCCCTTCCAGCTCTGCTGCAAACACTTCTTGTTAGGAGGATTTGCCATGACAAAGTTTCCTCCCAGAATTCTATATAGCAAATATGCATAGCATCCCTCTACCGAGCCTTCCTTCTCCACCCATTCCCCTTAGTTTTACTACCCCTCCCACTGCCAGCAAGGGTTCGAAGCCAGAGAGATGAGCCTGGACATGAATGTCTCTATCCTTACATTTACTTCTCTCTTTGAATGACACTCCTTCCCCATCAGAAGGCTTTATGTTTCCTCCTAATGGGAAGTGTTCTTTTTTTTTTTTTTTTTTTGAGAAGAGTCTTGCTCTGTTGCCCAGGCTGGAGTGCAATGGCACGATCTCAGCTCACTGCAACCTCTGCCTCCCAGGTTCAAGCAATTCTCTGGCCTCAGCCTTCTGAGTAGCTGGGATTACAGGTGCATGCCACCATGCCTGGCTAATTTTTGTATTTTTTAGTAGAGACGTGGTTTCACCATGTTGGTCATGCTGGTCTTGAACTCCTGACCTTGTGATCCACCCGCCTCTGCCTCCCAAAGTGCTGGGATTACAGGCGGGAGCCACCGTGCCCAGCCCCCGGGAACTTTTCTTACATCACATTCTATATATCTCTACAATGGAGCTGGCATGTAGAGGGAAGCTCATGAAATTAGAAAACCCTAAACTTAAGAATTGAGGTTGCTACTCCAAGCTAAGCAATGGCCTTCTATGCCAAGGGACTCTGCCTGAAACTATAAATGCTATTGGTTCTATGAATAAAAAGTTACTAAGCAACTTGCTAAATACATCAGCAATACTTGCAAAAATATTAACCTCATTATACTTTTTAGTTGTCTTAATTTCATACTGTCTTCTTATTTTTTTTCCTCTATTTTTTACCACCATGATAGCAAATGAATCTGTGGCAACATTGCCTCTGCCAGAATGAGACAGAAGGAGCCCTGCACCTGAAGGAGGGGACATGTCAAAGAATATCTTCCTTCTGCCCTGCCAACAACACGCCACCCTGTTAAAACAGCAAGTGAAATATAGCTATACGACAACCATTCAGAAGGGTTATTTAAATTCATTTCCTAAAAAGACTTTTTTTTGATCACTGGAAAAAAATTTAATTTTTAATCTTCACAAATGGTAAGATCCCTTGTTTGCTCACTGATAATTTTTATTTTAGATATACTGCTGTACCTCATGGTGGGCTTTTCATGAGAATATTTGACACAGAATCATAGACTATTTGAGCCCACTAGGTCCCAAGAGGGCATCTAGTACAGCCTTTTAAAAATTTTTATAGACTTTATTTTTTGGTGCACAGCAAAATTGAGAGGAGAGATTTCCCATATACTCCCTGCCACAATGCTGCACAGACACCCCCATTATCAATATCCCCCACCTTTCTATCAATCCCAAAGAGTATATTTGTTACAATAGATGAGCCTATATTGACGTATCATTACCTCCCAAAGTCTATCATTTACATTAGGGTTCACTCTTGCTGTTGTACATTCTACAGGTTTGGACAGTTGTTTAATGACGTGGTTCCATCATTATAACATCAGAGTATTTTCACCACCCTAACAATCCTCTGTACTCCATGTATTCATCCCTCCCTCCCGACAACCCCCGGCAGTGGGGACTGATCTTCTTACTGTCTCCAGAGTTTTGCCTTTTCCAGAATGTTATAGATTGGGAATCATGCAGTATGTAGCGTTTTCATATTGCCTTCTTTCACTTAATCATATGCATTTAAGGTTCTTCCGTCCTTTTTATGGCTTGAAAGCTTATTTCATTTTAGCACTGAGTAACAGTGCATTGTCTGATGTACACAAACACCTCAATACACTCTGGCACAGCCACTTTGGAAGACAGTTTGGAGGTTTTTACAAAACTAAACATTGTATTACCATATGATGTAGCCAGTTGCACTCCTTGGTATTTATTCAAAGAGTTGAAAACTTACATCTGCGTAAAAACCTGCACACAGATGTTTACAGCAGCTTTATTCATAACTGCCAGAACTTGGAAGCAACCAAGATATTCTTCAGTAGGTGAATGGATAAATAAACTGTGGTCCATCCAGACAATGAAATATTATTCAGCACTTTAAAAATATTTTTAAACCAACAGGATTATGAAATATTTCATTTCCTCCAAAAAGAAATCTTGCTTAAAAACTCCACATTGAAAAAGCAGTGGCACTCTGTGTTTGAGACCAGGATGGAACCCTGGAGCCGAACCCTCAAAAACCTCTGCTACACAGGCATAGCAGAATTTTTAAGCATCCTTTTGCAAAGCATTGATGACCACCATCAAAGACTGGCAAAGCCTGATTCCCAGGCCACCTCACTGCTAAAGATCACACTGTAGGTTTGGCTTCCTGACTGTCTCCACTATTTCATGCTTACACATATTTTAGAGTATTTTAACAAAGGTTTGGTACATTTACTAAAGATTTTTTAGTTGTATGCCTATTTACACGTCTTTAAGTTATTTTGGGAACTGATTTTCTTTTTAGTGGTGACAAATCTTTAAGCTATATATCAATAGAAGAAAGTGATTCAATTTTCAAAAATTCTATATTCAGAAAAAGTTGTTTAAAAAACAAAATGCAGCTCTGCTATTTCCCAGCACCTCTTTGAATGGGAACTTCAAGAACTCAGTTGAATCCTGGAACATGCCAAACATAATCCCAAGAGAAATTTCAGGAGACAATTCTTTCCAAGAAGATACTTATCCACATAAGCAAATTATTATCTGACATAAAGCAAATAGAATGAGACTTAGGGATTTAAACAATAATATCAGATTAAAGAAAAAAAATGTTAAACTGACTGTTCAGATCACAAAAAGGTGAGAGCCTTAGGGGTTCTGAGAGCTTTTTTACAAGTCTAATTTCTGAGATTTGAATATCCATTAAGTTGTCTTATACTTTGGAGGACTTTGTGCAGATGTTTAAACTTCAAGAACTATGAGTTCTTTAAAGCCATGGAAGATTGATTTCATGTTTTTCATTTACAGCATTTTGATGTGGACTTGGCAAAGAATAAGGTTCCTGTGCTAATTTCCTCTTGCTCTATGTAATTAGTCAGCATTTTAAATGAGGCAACAGGATATAATTGCCTACTGACCATTGCAGCCCATTTGTTTATGACACACTCCCCAGGCTTTTAGATGTACAATATTATTACCCACCTCTTTATTTGTGTTGCTGTCTCTTTCCACTTTTTTAATTTCTCCAGTTCTTCTCCCCTCAATCTCTGCTTCCTTTGTGGGCAATGCAAGAGGCTCTTTTCCTTCCAGCTGGCAAGGCATTAAGGAGGTCTGAGGGGGTGTACAAGAGTGACTTACATACTCCCTGGAGGCCAATTACACTTGGAATCCTCCTGATCTGCCCTGATCAGGGAGTGCGGCTTCCCCTCACAGTCTATTGTGCTAGCTCTGAGCCACCTGATCTGCCTGGTCCTACCCAGGACTTAAATTAGGGTGTCACCAGTCCTGGACCCATGTCAGGGCCTCTAGGTAACACTGGGGAATAAATTAACATGCTACTGTTGTTCCAAAGCCACATGGATACCATTATTAGAAACCCATCAGCAATAAAGGAGGCTGTTTCACAAGTCTCAAGAAGAAAGGGGATGAAATAGCATCATTCAATTGTGTGTTATTGCACTGTGTCTTAATACAAAAATTAGCATGTTGTCTTTATTAGTTTGGTGGAAAGGTGATTACAGTTTAATATGGCATCACATTATGTAGCTAGTAGTATAACTTTACAGCAAGCATTTCTTTCAAGATTGCCAAATATCTATTTTTTACAAAGAAAAAGAAAGAAAGAAAAAAATATAAGTTCAGGCTTTATTCATGTGTTACCTAAACTTACAATCTTAACCACCAAAAGGCTAATATAAGTGGTCAAGCTGGTTTAGAGGAACACTTGCATAGCAAAGCAATGACAGAAAGGAAGGATATGGGAAAATGACTAATAGGCAAGTTAGCAGACATCAAACAATCTGGCTCCAAGTAAGAATTATTTGAGAAAATATGTGTTTCAGAATCAATAGCAATGCACTTCACAGAATTTTGGAAAGCAAACAAGACTTTGAATTTATTGAGGACAAATCTTGGCAGGACATCATGATGAAATGCTTTCATTTCACAGCAAAAAAAAAAAGAATACATATTTTTGTTGAGATTTCCTGCATTCTTTTTGGTTTTTTCCAAGGCAGTTTGTGATATTGCTACTGAAACTGTGCAGTGAATTTCCACAATAAGTTTCATAGTCCTTCACATTCCAAGTACACATCTATTAGGTAATTACATTTATCTGTATATCAGCCATTTTACTTTCCACTGCTTTTATAATCTGTATTATAATGTCCTGAAATGAACACAAAAGAAGGAGGGAGGGAAATCATGCCCTTTAAACAACTCAAACAGCTTTTTAAATTAGGCAGTAAAATATTTTTGGGTAGATCATATTGTCATTCTTCTCTCTTAAAAAACTATGTATATAACAATATATGAAGTAATATTCGATCTGATACTATTTTAGAAAAGTATAGATCAGAAATGACTTTTTACTCTATAATAAATGGGCAATACACAGTTAATATAACTTCTAGAATATGAAACATTTTTAAAAATTATTTGCTATTTTAAGAAAGTCAAAGTAATCAAATTTTTATTCTGATTTCAGAGTATATCTTGTATCTTTTTTAGAGAGAAAGAATTTTAAAATTGCATAATGACCTTAATTTTTATCTTTCTGTATAGCTCAGATTAATCAGGAGTAGCAGGTAAAATTATGCCAATAATAAAAAATATCAAAATTATTTCAAAAGTATTTTAAAACTAATTGAAATTTATGTCATGTAAGGAAATACTTAACTATATGAATCATGTCAGTTTGAATTTCTGTTCAAAATTAGTTAGACATATTTTGTCACAACTTATGTCTTTAAAATAGTTGTTTAATACATAAAGAATTCAGATAAAGTGGTTTTAAAAATAGTGTCTCAATAATGAATAAACAAATATATGAAAGTAACAGAAATTAATAGTAAACATGGAAAAAATGTCAGCCTTATTAGTGATCACATAAATACAAATAACATCAATAAGATTTTTATAACAATCAAATGTATAAAGACTTAAAAATTTAAAAGTTGATGAATGTATAGTGAGACAAGTACTCAGTAATAATGACAGTGTAAATTTCTGAAAAGCAATTTGACTCTATCACAATCCTTATAATTTTTCATATCTTTAGTTAATTTTGCTTCTTAGACTACATATTAAGGAACTAATACAAAATTTAGTCATAAATGTATGTACCACAATTTTTATTACGTATTATTAATATAATCAAAATATTATTACTTAATTGTGTGACAATAGGTTAGTGGCTAGGTAAATTATGTTGCATAACATGTAATATCATGCAGCTATCAAAATCAATTGCCAAAAAAATTTTGTGAAATGGGAAAATGTGTACATGATTTTAAACTTAAATGCCAGATTCAAAACTGAATATACAGCTGTATTCCAACCATATTTTAAAAATATATGTATATCTGGAACATTTGCTCTTAGAACTCAGTTCCATGCTGTGAGGAAGTCCTAACAGCCCCATGGCAAGGATCCTAGAGAAAAGATTTAATTTACTTGCCCAACAGCTCCAGTTGGACTAAGTCATGCAGTCATCCCTGTCAAGATGCCAGATGTGTGAGAAAAGCCAGCTAAGACCTTTCAGGTCAGCCTATTTGCCAACTGAATGTCACAAAGTAACCTCAGGAAATGCCGTGTGAGAAAAACAACAAACACCTATTAAGCCCTGCAAAAATCCCAGATCTACACAATTATGAGATATAATCAAATGGTTGTTTATATGTAAAGATATGTAGATGCGGATATAGATAAATGAAGATAGGTAGATATGAATCTAAAATAAATGATTAGAAAGAAATACTCTAAAATATTAATAGTGGTTATTTTTGGTTAGGATGTTTATCAACAAATTTTTAATATCTTTTTGTACTTACCAAGTTTCCAATGATAAACTTGTATTGCTTTTATTTCAAAATATAATTTTGAAAAAAGAAAAATGTGTTAATCACTATTGTTTTAAATAAAATATATCTTTCACATAATGTATCCAGAGAAATATGGCAAAAAGAGCTTTGGATTAAATTACCTGCTTTGAAATTTAAATAGTTTAAATGACTAAGTCATTAAAATTCTAAAAATAAAAATGCTTTCCTTAAACATTTGCTACTCAGGCTCTTTTAATGAATCTAACCAAATTTAGAAAATAATAGTCGACTACTTTATACATGGGTGATGTTAGGCTCTGAGATCTTCAGTGATGATAAAGTACTCATATACTGGAATCTAACTTTGGATTGGTGAACCAGATCATTCATCCATCAGTTTATGGACATTTTCAGTTTTGTTCATCAGCTTCATTTCAAATTCCCAGGAACTGAATTAATTGCAGGTGTCTGCTTCCAACAGGAGTGCAGTCTTTAAATTATACATGTCACTGCATCACTTACATCATGTCACATCCTGTTATGTTTCTTCCTGCCATAAACTAGCAAAACACAACACGACACGAGAGAAATGCATTGACATGGTACAAGATGTCAAAAAATAAATACTACATTTTAGCAGATAATATGGTACAGATATTTTGAGTTATCTGAATTCTTTTGAATGACTTGGTTTACTTTATTAAGGTAAGGTAAGCCTCCAGCAGGTTCTGCAAAAGCTGATAGCAAAATCATTTGGGGTTGGTCACAAGCTATTTCAACTTAAGTTTGCAGATTTTAAAATGATAAATGATAATATGGTACAGGAGAAACATTGGGATTTATTCAGGCGGCATTTGAAAAATCTATTACAAATAAACTGTGAGGAAATTGTGTAGAATGGTGACTTATAATGGAATAATGGTCATGGCTTCATGACAAGAGCACTAATACAGAGGAGTATTGTTGTAATGTGCTGTACAAGCAAGAGTCAGGATATGCAAATCAAAACGCTAACATACTAGTCCATCCTGACACTGCTACAAAGAACTACCTGAGATTGGGTAATTTATAAAGAAAAGAGGTTTAATTGACTCAGTTCTGCAAGCTGTACCGGAACTATGGCTGGGGAGGTCTCAGGAAACTTACAATCATACCCCAAAGTGAAGGGGAAGCTGGCACATCCTCACATGGCCTAGGCTAATATATGTGTTTGTGTGTTAGTTTTTAAAAAAAAGATTGAGAATTTAAAAATAAAATTTAAAAAGCAATAATAGAAAAAAATTATAGAATAAGGATATACGGAAAATATTTTTGTACAGCCATACAATGTGTTTGCGTTTTTTTGTTTGTTTTTGTAGATTTTTTTTTATACTTTAAGTTCTAAGGTACATGGGCACAACATTCAGGTTTGTTACATATGTATACATGTGCCATGTTGGTGTGCTGCACCCACTAACTCGTCATTTACATTAGGTATATCTCCTAATGCTATCCCTCCTCGCTCCCTCGACCCCACTACAGGCCCTGGTGTGTGATGTTCCCCTTCCTCTGTCCAAGTGTTCTCATTGTTCAATTCCCACCTATGAGTGAGAACATGCGGTGTTTGGCTTTTTGTCCTTGTGATAGTTTGCTGAGAATGATGGTTTCCAGCTTCATCCATGTCCCTGCAAAGGACATGAACTCATCTTTCATGGCTGCATAGTATTCCATGGTGTATATGTGCCACATTTTCTTAATCCAGTCTGTCATTCATGGACATTTGGGTTGGTTCCAAGTCTTCGCTATTGTGAATAGTGCTGCTATAAACATACATGTGCATGTGTCTTTATAGCAGCATGATTTATAATCCTTTGGGTATACACCCAGTAATGGGATGACTGGGTTAAATGGTATTTCTACTTCTAGATCCTTGAGGAATCGCCACACTGACTTCCACAATGGTTGAACTAGTTTACAGTCCCACCAACAGTGTAAAAGTGTTCCTATTTCTCCACATCCTCTCCAGCGCCTGTTGTTTCCTGACTTTTTAGTGATCGCCATTCTAACTAGTGTGAGATGGTATCTCATTGTGGTTTTGATTTGCATTTCTCTGATGGCCAGTGGTGATGAGCATTTTTTCATGTGTCTGTTGGCTGCATAAATGTCTTCTTTTGAGAAGTATCTGTTCATATCCTTCGCCCACTTGTTGATGGGGTTGTTTGTTTTTTTCTTGTAAATTAGTTTGAGTTCATTGTAGATTCTGGATATTAGCCCTTTGTCAGATGAGTAGATTGCAAAATTTTCTCCCATTCTGTAGGTTGCCTGTTCACTCTGATGGTAGTTTCTTTTGCTGTGCAGAAGCTCCTTAGTTTAATCAGATCCCATTTGTCAATTTTGGCTTTTGTTGCCATTGTTTTTGGTGTTTTAGACATGAAGTCCTTGCCCATGCCTATGTCCTGAATGGTATTGCCTAGGTTTTCTTCTAAGGTTTTTATGGTTTTAGGTCTAACATGTAAGTCTTTAATCCATCTTGAATTAATTTTTGTATAGGGGTTAAGGAAGGGATCCAGTTTCAGCTTTCTACATATGGCTAGCCAGTTTTCCCAGCACCATTTATTAAATAGGGAATCCTTTCCCCATTGCTTGTTTTTGTCAGGTTTGTCAAAGATCAGATGGTTGTAGATACGCAGCATTATTTCTGAGGGCTCTGTTCTGTTCCATTGGTCTATATCTCTGTTTTGGTACCAGTACCATGCTGTTTTGGTTACTGTAGCCTTGTAGTATAGTTTGAAGTCAGGTAGTGTGATGCCTCCGGCTTTGTTCTTTTGGCTTAGGATTGACTTGGCAATGCAGGTTCTTTTTTGATTCCATATGAACTTTAAAGTAGTTTTTTCCAATTCTGTGAAGAAAGTCATTGGTAGCTTGATGGGGATGGCATTGAATCTATAAATAACCTTGGGCAGTATGGCCATTTTCACGATATTGATTCTTCCTATCCATGAGCATGGAATGTTCTTCCATTTGTTTGTGTCCTCTTTTATTCCGTTGAGCAGTGATTTGTAGTTCTCCTTGAAGAGGTCCTTCACATCCCTTGTAAGTTGGATTCCTAGGTATTTTATTCTCTTTGAAGCAATTGTGAATTGGAGTTAACTTATGATTTGGCTCTCTGTTTGTCTGTTATTGGTGTATAAGAATGCTTGTGATTTTTGCACATTGATTTTGCATCCTGAGACTTTGCTGAAGTTGCTTATCAGCTTAAGGAGATTTTGGGCTGAGACAATGGGGTTTTCTAGATATACAATCATGTCATCTGCAAACAAGGACAATTTGACTTCCTCTTTTCCTAATTGAATACCCTTTATTTCTTTCTCCTGCCTGATTGCCCTGGCCAGAACTTCCAACACTATGTTGAATAGGAGTGGTGAGAGAGGGCATCCCTCTCTTGTGGCAGTTTTCAAAGAGAATGCTTCCAGTTTTTTCCCATTCAGTATGATATTGGCTGTGGATTTGTCATAAATAGCTCTTATTGTTTTGTGATGTGTCCCACCAGTACCTAATTTGTTCAGAGTTTTTAGTATGAAGAGCTGTTGAATTTTGTCAAAGGCCTTTTCTGCGTCTATTGAGATAATCATGTGGTTTTTGTCTTTGCTTCTGTTTATATGCTGGATTATGTTTATTGATTTGTGATGTTGAACCAGCCTTGCATCCCGGGGATGAAGCCCACTTGATCATGGTGGATAAGTTTTTTGATGTACTGCTGGATTCGGTTTGCCAGTATTTTATTGAGGATTTTTGCATGATGTTCATCAGGGATGTTGGTCTATAATTCTCTTTTTTTGTTGTATCTCTGCCAGGCTTTGGTATCACGATGATGCCGGCCTCATAAAATAAGTTAGGGAGGATTCCCTCTTTTTCTATTGATTGAAATAGTTTCAGAAGGAATGGTACCATCTCTTCCTTGTACCTCTGATAGAATTTGGCTGTGAATCCGTCTGGTCCTGGACTCTTTTTGGTTGGTAGGCTATTAATCATTGCCTCAATTTCAGAGCCTGTTATTGATCTATTCAGGGATTCAACTTCTTCCTGGTTTAGTCTTGGGAGGGTGTATGTGTCGAGGAATTTATCCATTTCTTCTAGATTTTCTAGTTCATTTGCGTAGAGGTGTTTATAGTATTCTCTAATGGTAGTTTGTATTTCTGTGGGATCAGTGGTGATATCCCCTTTATCATTTTTATTGTGTCTATTTGATTCTTCTCTCTTTTCTTCTTCATTAGTCTTGCTAGCGGTCTATCAATTTTGTTGATCATTTCAAAAAACAGCTTCTGGATTCATTGATATTTTGAAGGGTTTTTTGTGTCTCTATCTCCTTCAGTTCTGCTCTTATCTTAGTTATTTCTTGCCTTCTGCCAGCTTTTGAATATGTTTGCTCTTGCTTCTCTAGTTCTTTTAATTGTGATGTTAGGGTGTCAATTTTAGATCTTTCCTGCTTTCTCTTGTGGGCATTTAGTGCTATAAGTTTCCCTCTACACACTGCTTTAAATGTGTCCCAGAGATTCTGGTATGTTGTGTCTTTGTTCTCGTTGGTTTCAAAGAACATCTTTATCTCTGCCTTCATTTCGTTATGTACCCAGTAGTCATTCAGGAGCAGGTTGTCCAGTTTCCACGTAGTTGAGCGGTTTTGAGTGAGTTTCTTAATTCTGAGTTCTAGTTTGATTGCACTGTGGTCTGAGAGACAGTTTGTTATAATTTCTGTTCTTTTACATTTTCCGAGGAGTGCTTTACTTCCAACTATGTGGTCAATTTTGGAATAGGTGCGGTATGGTGCTGAGAAGAATGTATATGCTGTTGATTTGGGGTGGAGAGTTCTATAGGTGTCTATTAGGTCTGCTTGGTGCAGAGCTGAGTTCAATTCCTGGATATCCTTGTTAATTTTCTGTCTCGTTGATCTGTCTAATGTTGACAGTGGGGTGTTAAAGTCTCCCATTATTATTGTGTGGGAGTCTAAGTCTCTTTGTAGGTCTCTAAGGACTTGCTTTATGAATCTGGGTGCTCCTGTATTGGGTGCATATATATATTTAGGATACTTAGCTCTTCTTGTTGAATTGATCCCTTTATCATTAGGTAATGGCCTTCTTTGTCTCTTTTGATCTTTGTTGGTTTAAAGTCTGTTTTATCAGAGACTAGGATTGCAACCCCTGCTTTTTTTTGCTTTCCATTTGCTTGGTAGATCTTCCTCCATCCATTTATTTTGAGCCTATGTGTGTCTCTGCACGTGACATGGGTCTCCTGAATACAGCACGGTGATGGATCTTGACTCTTTATGCAATTTGCCTGTCTGTGTCTTTTAATTGGAGCATTTAGCCCATTTACACTTAAGGTTAATATTGTTATGTGTGAATTTGATCCTGTCATTATGATGTTAGCTGGTTATTTTGCTCGTTAGTTGATGCAGTTTCTTCCTAGCATCGATGGTCTTTACAATTTGGCATGTTTTTGCAGCGGCTGGTACTGCTTTTTCCTTTCCATGTTTAGTGCTTCCTTCAGGAGCTCTTTTAGGGCAGGCCTGGTGGTAACAAAATCTCTCCGCATTTGCTTGTCTATAAAGGATTTTATTTCTCCTTCACTTATGAAGCTTAGTTTGGCTGAATATGAAATTCTGGGTTGAAAATTCTTTTCTTTAAGAATGTTGAATATTGGCCCCCACTCTCTTCTGGCTTGTAGAGTTTCTGCCAAGAGATCCACTGTTAGTCTGATGGGCTTCCCTTTGTGGGTAACTCGACCTGTCTCTCAGGCTGCCCTTCACATTTTTTCCTTCATTTCAACTTTGGTGAATCTGACAATTAGGTGTGTTGGAGTTGTTCTTCTCGAGAAGTATCTATGTGGCGTTCTCTGTATTTCCTGAATTTGAATGTTGGCCTGCCTTGCTAGGTTGGGGAAGTTCTCCTGGATAATATCCTGAAGAGTGTCCAACGTGGTTCCATTCTCCCTGTCACTTTCAGGTACACCAATCAGATGTAGATTTGGTCTTTTCGCATAGTCCCATATTTCTTGGAGGCTTTGTTCATTTCTTTTTACTCTTTTTTCTCTAAACTTCTCTTCTCACTTCATTTCATTCATTTGATCTTAATCACTGACACCCTTTCTTCCAGTTGATCGAATCGGCTACTGAAGCTTGTGCATTTGTCACATAGTTCTCGTGCCATGCTTTTCACCTCCATCAGGTCATTTAAGGACTTCTCTATACTGGTTATTCTAGTCAGCCATTCGTCTAATCTTTTTTTCAAGGTTTTTAGCTTCTTTGTGATGGGTCCAAACTTCCTTTAGCTCGGAGAAGTTTGATCATCTGAAGACTTCTCCTCTCAACGCGTCAAAGTCATTCTCCGTCCAGCTTTGTTCCGTTGCTGGCGAGGAGCTGCATTCCTTTGGAGGGGGAGAGGCGCTTTGATTTTTAGAATTTTCAGCTTTTCTGCTCTGTTTTTTTCCCCATCTTTGTGGTTTTATCTGCCTTCGGTCTTTGATGATGGTGACGTACAGACGGGGTTTTGGTGTGGATGTCCTTTCTGTTTGTTAGTTTTCCTTCTAACAGTCAGGACCCTCGGCTGCAGGTCTGTTGGAGTTTGCTGGAGGTCCACTCCAGACCCTGTTTGCCTGGGTATCAGCAGTGGAGGCTGCAGAACAGCGAATATTGCTGAACAGCAAATGTTGCTGCCTGATCATTCCTCTGGAAGCTTTGTCTCAGAGGGGTATCTGGCCGTGTGAGTGTCAGTCTGCCTCTACTGGGGGGTGCCTCCCTGTTAGGCTACTTGAGGGTCAGGGACCCACTTGAGGAGGCAGTCTGTCCATTCTCAGATCTCAAACTCCATGCTGGGAGAACCACTGCTCTCTTCAAAGCTGTTAGACAGGGACATTTAAGTCTGCAGACATTTCTGCTGCCTTTTGTTCAACTATACTCTGCCCCCAGAGATGGAGTCTACAGAGGCAGGCAGGCCTCCTTGAGCTGCGGTGGGCTCCACCCAGTTCGAGCTTCCGGGTGACTTTGTTTACCTACTCAAGCCTCAGCAATGGTGGGCGCCCCTCCCCCAGCCTCACTGCCACCTTGCAGTTTGATCTCAGACTGCTGTGCCAGCAATGAGTGAGGCTCTGTGGGCGTGGGACCCTCCGAGCCAGGCGCGGGATATAATCTCCTGGTGTGCTGTTTGCTAAGACCATTGGAAAAGCTCAGTATTAGGGTGGGAGTGACCCAATTTTCCAGGTGCCGTCTGTCACAGCTTCCCTTGGCTAGAAAGGGAATTCCCTGATTCCTTGTGCTTCCCGGGTGAGGTGATGCCTCGCTCTGCTTCAGCTCATGCTCTGTGGGCTGCACCCACTGTGCTGCACCCACTGTCTGACAAGCCCCTGTGAGATGAACCCGGTACCTCAGTTGGAAATACAGAAATCACCCATCTTGTGTCGCTCACGCTGGGAGCTGTAGACTGGAGCTGTTCCTATTTGGCCATCTTGGAACCGCCCCCCACAGCAGATCGTGTTTGTGTTTTAAGCTAAGGGTTATTACAAAAGAGTCAAAAACCTAAAAAAGTTTTAAAGTTTATAAGGTAAAAACTTATAGTAAGCTAAGGTTAATTTATTATTGAAGAAAAATACTTTTTATAAATTTAGCGTAGCCTAAGTGTAAAGTGTTTATAAAGTCTACAGTCATGTACAGTAAAGTCCTAGGCCCTCACATTCACTCACCACTCACTGACTCACCCAGAGCAACTTCCAGTCCTACAAGCTCCATCCACAGTAAGTGTCCTATTTGAGTGTACCATTTTTTATAGTTTATACTGTATTTTTACTGTAACTTTTCTATGTTTAGATCCACATATAATTTACATTGTGTTACAATTACCTACAATATTCTGTACAATAGCATGATGTACAGATTTGTAGCCTAGGAGCAATAGGCTATACTGTATAGCTTAGGTGTGTAGTAGGCTATAACATCAAAGTCTGTGTGAAGGCACTCTGTGAGGTTCACACAACAACAAAATCACCTACCAACATATTTCTTAGAACATTTCACTGTTGTTAGCAATGCATAACGGTACTATGCTAAGGACTGACTATACAAAAACTAACAAAACCTTGTTCTTTCTCTCTAGTGGAAGAGAGGGTTACATAAGCCAATCATTGTAATACAGTATGATTCCTGCTTATAAAAGGGGGAAGAACAAAGTAGAGCTCCCTAGAAGAGAGAGATAAAATCCAATTGTGTATAGAGGAAGAAAATTTTGCAGCAGAAGAGGCACTTGAACTGCCTGAGTCAGAGGACCAAAACCACATGGCCCTCAAGAGAGGACCAGGAGAAATGGAACATGCATAGTACATGGGGTGGAACGAGGATGGAAAAAAGAGAGTAGCAAGTTGTAGATTTGGGCTTAATCTTTGGTAATGAAGAACTATTGAAGGCTTTTAAGCAGGGAAATATGAGCTGATCAAATCTGTGTTTTAGAAAAATCAATGAGGACAACTTGTAGGACTTCAAAGGAGGAACTCACAAGGAGGGAAATGAAATAAGAGCTACTCAATAATCCATGAAAGAATTATGAAGGCCTAATATTTTTATTAAGCAAAAGTAAGAAAAGGATAAATTATAATTATTTGTACATATTATATAATGTATAATAAACATAATTATACTTGGTACTACTTCTTTGTCACCTTTTAGATCAGAATAATCATGTATATTGTGTCTACATTGCCACAAAATGCAATGTTAGTAGAATTTAAGTTCATAAACAATAGCTAGTGACTAAAATCATATCTCAATTAGAGTCTATGTTAGGAGAGAAAAATTATAGCTGCTAATCTCAAGCTAAATTTTTCAGGTTCTCTTGATGTTTATTCACAAGATAAGTGATTTGGTGAAATAGTACAGTTTTATTCCTTTGTTGAAGGTGGTAGAGAATAACCATGTTACACTGCTTCTCAGGCTGGGTTCCCAGAGAGCAGAGCCTGACATTGAGAGCACACAGCCTAATATATTACAGGAAGAAGAATCCTCACAGCAGGAGTGGGGAAGAAGCAGGTAGGCAGGGAAGGAGAGGGAGCCAGTACCAAGATGCCACAACGTGTTTGAAGTTGAGCACTGCTAAGTGCAACTAATTGCTCCAGCTCCCTAGAAGCTGTATATCCAACCTCTCAGAACAAGCTGTCAGAGGAGGAAAAAGGAGGAAGAACTTTTCCACCAGCTCCTCCTTTCTATGGGTTAAAATATCACCCTACTAACTCCCTACACACTTGTGAGTTGCATATGCAGAGACTCCAAGCACGAAGCTCATCATGTGGTGCTCTGCTCTTGACAGTCAACACCTGTGTAGAAGGTGAGTGACCCAGAGGGGCACCAAGTGGGTGCTGTCAGATTGCACCTGCATGAAGTCATTCAGAGCCTACTCAATCGTAGCTGCTGCAGCGGGGGTAGGACAAGGGAGGTGACACCAATGGTATCTGAAGTGGTGCCACCAGTCGTCTGATCCTGAGCATGAATTCCAAAACAGACAAAATTTATTATACGATCAGAATGATTTATGAAAATTAAAACAACCTTCATTAATTACTCTACAATCAAAATTTTTGCCAAGAATTTTTCTTTGATATAAGAAATATAAACACAGTAATGTAAAATTATTAAATGTTACATTAAATTTACACATTGCTTACTCACTCAATAAATAATCTGGGTTTTGTCTTAACCATGCTATATGCCAGAATTTCAATACATTTAATACTGTAATTCACTGATCCTGGTGCCCCTTCAGGTCTCTCATGTCCCTCATGTCCTCCTCCCTTCCCACCTTGGATTCGGTGGTCCATCCTTATAATTATTCACTTGCCTATAACAACTCCTTCACCCTCCTCTCTGGGGTGTTATGAGTCAGAAGAAATCAGAAGAGAACTTCAACAATTCTCACAGCCACATCCTCATACCTTCCTGTGGCTTCACTCCTGGGACTGTTCTTATGAGGGTCCAGCTTTTCCACCTCTTCCCATTTTCCCTGGTTCTATGTCATCTTCTTTACTGAGACATTGCTCCAGCATTTGACTTCTCTTCCTCATCTATAATCAATTTTCTCTACTAGATTAGTATACAGTTTGCAGACATACAAGAATGTTCTGATCTTTACTTAAAGCCTCTCTTGACTACACTTCATCTAGTAGACCATAGCCAGCTAGCTAACAAATCCTTTCTCTACTCCCCTTGATGGAATCTCTCCTTATCTTTTTCTCCTCTCATTCTCCCTTGAACCTCCTCCCATATGGCCTTCATTCCCTCCTCTCCAGCTGACAAGCTTTCACTTGTCAGGATTGGTAATGGCCAGTTAGTAGACCTCATTCACTTCAACTTCAACAATGTAAGACACAGATGATCTCTTGCTCCTTCTAAGTTTTTATTTTTTTCACTTGGCTTCTGGGGCAACATTCCCTGTAAGTTTCCTTCCACTTCCCTATCTGTTCTTTCTCATTCTCTCCATTTATTCTTCATCTTCTCAACCTCTAAACTTTGGAGAGCCTCAGACTTCAATTTTGTGACTTCTTTTTTCTACATGTACTCAGGTTTTAGATAGCCTCATTCAGTTCCCGTGGCTGTAAATAACATCTATTCCCTGAAGTAATGTCTCCCAGATGTAATGTCTCCAGTCTTCATCTCTCCCCTGAATTCCAGACGCAGGAACATCCAGCTGCCTGCATGACTTTTCTAAGTGTCTAAAAAGCATCTTAAACTTAAATTCTTGATTCCCTCTCCTTTACTCCACGACAAAAATCCAGCTCTTCCCATTGTCTTCTCTATCTCTGAAAATACTTTTGCAAGACAAAAATCTCATAGTTATTATTGTTTGTCTCCCCTCTTTAAATCTCATATATGATCTATCAGCAAACTATATGTGCTCAACTTTCAAAATATAACCAGAAATACAACATTGCACTACTCTCATGCTACTATCCTCATGTAAATGGTCATCATTGCCCAGCTGGATGATTGCAGTAGCCTCCTAACTTAGCTCCCTACTTTCCACATATGCCACCCACCCACCCCCAGCCCCAACCCTTCTGTCTACTCTGTGATTCTTTTCAAATGCAAATCAGATCATGGAACTACTCTGTTCAGACCCTTCCAGTGACTGGTCCTCTCACTCAGAGTGAAAACCATCATCACCTCCAAGTCCTTCAATGTTATTGCCATCCATCCCTGCTCTCATATTATTCCTTGTCACTTTCTCCCTCACTCATCCAGCACCAGCCATATTTGTCACATTGGCTTTTCTCTGGGCATGCCAAGCACACTCCTGCCTCAACAGTTTTCCCCTTATTCCCTTGGCCTCAGATAGACTTCCTCCAGACAGTCAGATGGCTTGGTCCTTCTCTTCCTTCAGGTCTCCACTCAAATGATACTTTTTAAGAACACCTCCTTAACCAAGCTCTATTACAACTTATCCTCTTGACCAGTTTTTCTTTTTCTCCACAGGGCTTAGTGTCACCTAACAGCTATTCATGTGCTTAATTACTCATTTCTTACCTTTCTGCCCTACTAGGATGTAAGCTCTACAAGGGCAGGAAATTTGTCTGCATTGTTTATTTCTATTTCCCTCATGACTAGCACGTGGGAGGTACTCAGTACACATTTGTTGAATGAATTAATAGCATCAACAGTTAAAAACAAAAGGGATACTCATTCATTAAATTTATTTAAAATTAGTTTGACTAAAATTAAAAACTTAAATTGACTCTGCATAAGAGAGAATTCTAAGTGGTTTGGGAAACCAAAATGGGTTTTATTTATAAATTTGGTAAGTGGATCTAACAGAAAATTAAATCCAATGTGTATTTTTCACTCTGATTCATTAAAATCCCAATTCAAACTTAATAGATGTGTGATTTTTCTCCAGCTACTTTAGTTACCAGTGTAAGAGCACAAAATGGAGAAGCACTTGGCGTTAAATAGGACAGGAATTTCTCGATGGTGGGAGAGAACCAGGGTGTTGATATATGCAACTGAGTGACTATAACGATAATATAACCTAGGAATATAATGTAGGAAAAGAGAGAAGGATGGTAAAGGGAAGGGCAGTAGAATCAGTGGATTCTAACATTAAATATTCCAGTTTATAGCATGGATAAATCAGAGGGCAAGTTTCTTAAAATGAATGTATAAACAATGTGTAAATTAATATTATCTCTGCTTACATTTCTATAAGCAGAATGAAAATCATTTTATTTAGTAATATAAGTTCATGAGGAAAGATGTTTACATTAATTTTGCAATACATAAATTTAAAAAGACGGTAAAGAAAATCAGTTTTACTTGACTGGAACCTAATTGTCAACCTTCAAATGATAAAACATAGCTCATTAACATTGAATTAAACTTAAAAAGAATATCTGGAGCTTTCTTTACTGAAGATCTTTACATTTAGACAGTCTCATCATTGAAATTGTTCTGCAAGAGCCTCATTATAATGAAGTTCCAACGGAGACT
The DNA here is from genome assembly GCF_000001405.40 of Homo sapiens. Lineage (NCBI taxonomy): Eukaryota > Metazoa > Chordata > Mammalia > Primates > Hominidae > Homo > Homo sapiens. The sequence goes on from NC_000005.10 coordinate 93,177,694, forward strand.
ATTATTATCTTTTTATTGCAGTGTTGTATTAGATAAAACCAGATGTTAATCTTCAGTGTTCAGGTTACACTCCACGTACAAACCCAGCCTAGTTCCCAGTGAGCAGGTGGCAGGCAAAGTCTACCCGAGGACAAGCACAGCTAACGCCTCAATCTTCATGAAGTTGATCACAGCGGATGACACATTCTTCCTAACGTGTAACTCTCATCATCACAACATAAAATGAGTTTTATCCCCTTTTTGTCATTTTCCTTCCAAGTATAATAGAATCTAAATCTAAATCTTAATTCCTCTTCAAAGTCAAACTGGATGTCATTCTTTCCCATACCCTGGGAAGCCCCGTTACGGCACTTTTTTTTATTTCTCAATCTCTAACCTTTTTATCTCTTTATCAGCTCCTTTCCATCTGCCTTTAAATCAACAGGAACTTGAAAAGCCATTTTAAATAAATCCTTGACCTCAGGATTTATTCCAATCGCTATTGTTTTTTCCTGTCTTCCTTTTGCCACTCTTGCGTGATCTCTACTCCCTGTTGCAATTTCCACAATCTCTTATAAAATGGTTTTCCTACCACAATATACTTAAAAATCTCTCCATCTGAGAACACATGTGCTCTCCCTCTCAGTAACTGGAGTGGCCTTTCCTCCATCCTCCTCTCATCCTGAGTTTCTCAACCACATATGGCCCTGGGGCTCCAGGCCTCCATACAGAAGCAGCACAGTTCCTTTAGTTAAGATTGCTCCTCCTCTCTTTCCTTCAGTGGCTCCTGTTACTCTCCTCATTTTATCTGTGGATGTTTTCTAAGCTCAGCCTCCTTTGCTAAACTCTTTTTTTCTGCTTGGAGAACATTTCTAAATGCACTCTAGCATGTCCAGAATAGGCTTCCTTTTTAACATTTACAGGCTTGAGGGATTTCACCTGGGTTATAAACTCATATTTCCATCCATCCACAGAACACCATTTTTGCAAATTTGGCCTGTTGAAAATGAAATTCATTTTTCTCTAATCCAGGCTGTCACTAAACCAACTCAATTTTAATACCAAAATTTGCTTCATTCTGCAGATTTAGCCTTAGAGTCATGTATCAATTCTCTTCCTTTTACCCCAGGACTCAACCTCTCATCAAGTTCTTTGAATTATTTGCAACAATAATAATGATGATAAGACTTACAGATGCAATGGCTTGAACACATTTCATTTTCCCCACTTCCACTACTCCCAACCTAATTAGGATCTACTGTAATGAAATTACTAATACAGTTTCCTCCCTTCCTTCAGTTTTCCTTCCTCACTCATTCACTTCCAATTCATTCTTCCAAAACAGCCAAATAAGTCTTTCGATTCTCACCATGGTTTTCAGATGCTCATCAGAATTTATGTAAACTATTAGCGGACCAGATATGCACATGTGTTTCAAATGTAGTCTAAGCACCACTAATGGCTTATTTTTCTTATAGATCGTGAATGAACCATTGACTGAAAAGACAGAAATGACCAGCTTTAAAGTTTTCTGGTACCTCCATACTGGTCAGGATAAGTTTGGATTAGGCTACAGTAGCAAACAATCCCAAAATCTCGCTGCTATCAAGCAAAAAGTTGTATTTTAGAGAACTTATATTCACTACAAGCTTGACATCCTCCCAGTACTTAAAAACTCTTCTGATGGGATCAGTGGTGCTATTAACAAATGCCACCTTTAGATATTGTCTAATGAAATGTGTCATCATTTTGGAAATCTGAAAATTCAGTAAACAAATATTTTTCAAATGATCAAAGTATGATGATCAAATAGTCAAAATCATGGGTGGGTAAAACGTTTATTCAAAGTACAAGGCAGGCCAGTGGATTTTAATGGTGCAGAGTACAAAAAGTTCATTAATGTCATTTTGGACTCTTCATTGAAACTGCACTTCAAGAAACTATCACTTGTCAAGTTAAAAGGAGAATGTGCATAATTCTCCAAAATGGATATTAAACTGTTCCTCCCTTTTTCATCTACATATCTGTGTAAAGCCAGATTTTCTTCATATACTTTAATCAAAACAGCATGTCACAACAAAATGAATACAGAGGCAGACATACAAATTCAGCTATCTTCTGTTAAGCCTGGCATTAAATTAGAGATTTGAAAAAGTGTAAACAGCAATGCCACCCTTCTCACTACATTTTAGAGGGAAGGGGTTGGAAAACATAGTTGTTTCTCATAAAATATATGTTATTATTTTAACATATATTGCTTTACTATTGTTTTGAAATTAACTACTGAATAATAATAATACTTTTCTCATTTATCTGTTTTAATCACTAATAAAATAATTATCAACAGATATAACTCACATAAACAAAAGCTCATTAGCATTGTCAATATTTCTTAATAATGTTACAGAATTCTGACACCAAAAAAATTTGAGAATCATTGGTCTAAGTCCCATCTTGATTTTCTTCCTTTCTTTTTGTTCCTGAGGTCATAGAGTCTCTTTTTGGTGCCTGAACTAAACATATTTCTGCTCATATAAAGTCTTTATTTATTTATTTGGTTATTTCATTTTTGTTTGTTTGTTTCCTCATGGTCCACTCACTTTATTAAGCCCTATATTAATCCAAACAGTTTTTCTATTAATTTTTCTGCTTTTGGGGTATACAGTGAAATCACTGGAAAATAATGAAAACTGAATCTTCTTTCTAAGATAAAGCTTTATTCCTATTCATTGGTGTTATTCGCTCCTACTGACAGAACAATATTAAGTAATAGCATGGTAACATTCATTTTCATCTTAATAGAAATATCTCCAGTGTTTCTCCAAAAAATAAGATGGCAGTAATTAATTGGTAATGCAAATGCTTCATGATGTGAAAAAAAAAGTATCTTTCTGGTCCCAGTTTAATAAGAATGTTATCAGAAAATATGTTAAATTTAATCAAATTCATTTTAGGTGTGGTGAACAGAATAACAGCCCCCATAGATGTCCGTGCCCTAATCCCCAAAACCTATGGATCTGTGACCTTACACAGCAAAAGGTATTTTACAGATGTGATTAAATTAAGAACCTTGATATGATATGGGGAGATTATCCTGAATCATCCTGATGAACTCAATGTAATCACAGTATTCTGATAAAAGGGAAGCAGGGGAGTCAGAGTCAGCATAGAAAATGTGGTGACAGAAGAAGAGATTGGAGGGATAAGAGGAAGGGGACACAAGCCAAGGCATGCAGATGGCCTCTGGAAGCTGGAAAAGCATAAAATAGATTCTCTCCTAGAGCCTCCAGAAGGAATGCGGTCCTATCCACCCCTTGATTTTAGGACTCCTGACCTCCAGAACTGTAAGATAAAAAATTTATGTTGTTTCAAGCCACTAGGTTTGTGATAATTTGTTTCAGCTGCAATAAGAAACTATTACATTAGGCATCACTCATATTGATCATATTACCTTTATTCTGCAATCTATGACATAAAGTTCCAATTAATATGTCAAGTAATCATGGGTTATTATTTTATTTGGTGATTAAAAACTAGTTTTGGTTATGGTGTTTTGTTATTTTAAAAAAGTTATGTGTTTTATTTTCTGTTATATATTTGCATCTGTGTAGTATAGTAATGAGATTAATCTATAGTTTTTACCTCTCTGCTAAATTTGTCATGTTTCGTTATTAAAACTCACTTGCTTCATAAAATTACTTGAAAGATGTTCTCTCCATATGCTCTCAACCAGCTTATGTACTACAGGAATTTTTAGTCATTGTAATTTTGAAAGCACAAAAGTTAAAACTTGAGTTTATGCCTTAATTTTTTTTCCAAAAAACATAAGCCTACCTATTTTTCCTTTTCTTTACAGACCAATTTTGATAACTTATGCCTTGTTAGAAGCTTATCTATTTTGTTGAGATTTGGAAAATTATTAGCATAGTTTGTACAATTCTCTTAAAGTATTTAAAATTTCTATTAATATATCCCCCTTATAAATTATAAACTACAGTCAGTTTTTCCTTTCTTTTGTTCTTCTTTGAATATGCCAGTTTTTCTATTAGTTATTATTCTAATAACTCTTTTTTGTTGTGTTTCCAAAAAATTAATTACCGACTAAACCACATTGTTCTTCCTGAGTTTCCTATGTTTGTTTTATTATGTTCAAACTTTTGAGTTAATATTAAATTACTTGATTTTCATTCTTTGTTGTTAAATAAACAAAGAACTCCAGGCTATAAATTTTCTTTAAAGCCATGACTTTGGAAACATCATAGAGGTTTTAATTTTTAAAATTATCCTTGTCTCTCTAAACACTCCATAGCTAAAGTCTGTACTATTACTTTAATCCAAGAACTCTTTAGCCAAGTGCTTTTTTTTTAATCCAAGTGGTATGAATTTTTTGTTTAGACTTGTGCAATTAGGTTTTAATTTCATTGCAATGCCATTAAAGAATATAATTTGTCCATTTTCTACTCCTTGTTATTAATTAAGATTGCATGTGATCACTTTTTATAAATGTTTTTTAGGCATTTGCAAAGAAAATATGGCTTTCATAGAGTACAGTACTTTTATACAACCACATACATATTTTATAAAATTTTTTAATATATATGTAACCATACATCACATATAAACAGAAATATAGATATAGATAAAATTATTATGTTAATTATATTTTTTCAAGTCCTTTCAGTCCACATTTATTTTTTTAGGCTTTCAATCTGTCAAAGACTAAGAATGGTGTATGATAAAGCATGCCATCATAACTGTGCTTCTGTCAGCCTCCCAATGTATTTTTAACAGTTTATGCTACGTATATTTTTCTTACCTTTTTAGTTACACAATGTTTCATGACTATTATATCTCTACTATGAATATTATTAGCGTTTGTCAATATAAAAACATCATGTTACATGCTTCTTGTTCTTGAATTCTATTTTATATTAAAACTATATTGCTACTGCTAATTTTTGTTCCTCTACTCTTTTCTGTTTTATTGGAAGCCTGTTATATCTTTGTCTATAATTTTATATTTAATATTCTCTTTCATGTTGTTTTTTCAGATGTGTTCCAAAATAAATATTTGGAGAAGTCCATTGCCAGCCTAAATTTTGTTCTGTATTAGTAACATAGTTTTCCTGCTAATATTTCTGAGATTTTTATTCTATTTTCAGAATGCAATAATTTTGCCAATAATACTTACTGAAATTAATATTGCCTACTAATATAATGTAATTCTATATTTTTAAAAATCAGTCTTTTGCTAGTGAATCTTCTTCTATTATATCATTGCTTATTACTTCTTCTTATCTATTCTCTCTTTATATATGTAGATTGGATCATATATCTCTGATCTTTGTATCACTAAAATTGTTGTATTATTTTTAATTATTCATACTTTTCCTGAATTGTAATATTTTCATCTTTTTTTATTTTGTTAATTTTTTCTTTCTGCTAATCTTTTCTTATCTTGAAGTTGTTAATCTAACAGTTGTGTTTTTTCATATCCACACAATACTCTTATCACAATTTTGTTTTATCTTCGTAGTTGCTTGTTAGGGTCTAATACATAAATATTTTTAAATCTCACTAGAAACATAAATCAGGAATTTTAGATTTCCTCATGTTTCTGAACACAGATTTACTACAGAGAATATATCCTCTATCCTCTGATTCTACAGAGAGTTCAGAGCTTTTGATCTTAAGTAACTGCCTATTACAGTTATTACCTGAGGTGGTAATCTGTTCAATATCAGCCTCTGAAGAAAAGAAAAGAGCCCAGTGTTGTGGTTTTATGATGATATGGCCATCCTTCACACAGCTGGATTCTTTTCTCAGAATCCTGAAAGATGAAATATATATATATATATACACACACACACACATACATATGGAAGACCTGAAAATAAGACCATGATAATAGAATCTTCAAAGGGATGGAAATAATATTGTCCAGAGCTAAAGAAAGACCATGCCTTTGGGTCTACCTAGGGCTCAACAGAAAGAATGAAAATATATACGTACACACACACATGCACACATACATATGCACTTCAAGACAAATTGTTGTAGAGTTTCAGAACTCCAAAGGAAGGAAAATCTTAACATTTCCTTGGAGAAATAAACAGGTGACATACAAAGGAATGAGATTCATTATATTTATATATATTTCTCAACGGCAACTTATTCTGAAAGACAATGGAGCAACACTTTGAAAGAATGGGAAGGATATTTATTTAAACCTGGAAATCTTGATTCAGCCACATTTGCAATCAATTATAAGGGGAAAATAATTACATATTCAGGAAAGTAAAGACTCAAAAAGCTTGCCATCCTCATATCCTTTCTAAAAATAACAATTTGAGAATGTTTTATTTTATACCAATGAAAAGCTCAATGAGATGAATTCTATAAATGATCAAAATTGCTTCAAGAAGTGGTAGAAAATCTGAGCAGAATAATTACTATAGGAGAAAGTTTTAAAGTTTATGCCTAAAAAGGCACCAGACTCAGATGATTTTATAGAAAAGTCTTAACAAACACTTCTCAGAACAGATTATCCCCAAGAGGATAGAAAATAGGAAAATGTGGATGCCTGCCCAGCATATTCTTCAAGGCTAGCATAATCCTGATACCAAAAATTGGACAAGGATAACACAATAAAATAAAATTGTAGTCCAATTTCACTTACTATAGTAAGTAAATTCAAGAATGATTAATAAGTTATTCCCACAGTCCAGCCACAAAATAAAATATTATCAAATAGGATTTATCGTAAAATTGAAAGGCTGATGTGACTTTAAAAAATGTATTACGGTAATTCAGCATAAGAAGTAGATTAAAGGAAGAAAATAATATAACTTCGATAGATGCCAAGAATGTTTAATAAAACTCACCCTTATTACTGATTTAAAGTGGTGATTAAATGCTCTGCCATCCTGGAATCCTATAAGTCCCAAGGAACTTGCAAAGTCCATTTTTATTGGATCATTGCCCATCAAGACTCCCAAAGATAGAGAGAACCACTACTGATTTTCGAAAGAAATTTGTTATTCTCTCACCAATGTATGTCTCAATGTTTCATTGAAGACAACGTTCTCTGGACCATCTTGGAAAACAATTAAAGTGAGCAGGTTATACATAATTGCAAGGCAACACTTATATCTAACCAATTATTTTTATCCCCTCCACTTTAAAACATTAAAGAATTTCTGTTATCTCAACTTGATTTAATGTAGGCCACCACAAAGAACAGATTTCAGTCAATCATCGGAGTGAGCTATTGGCACCCTTCTCTGCTATGTTGTGTATTTCTAAGTCCCATGTGCTTTGCTTCATGATCATTTGGTACCATCCCATGACTAGAAGGTAAACTCCATTGAGAGACCTGAATGATAGTATCTTTTTTGTTGTTGTTGTTTTTAGATGGATTCTTACTCTGTCACCCAGGCTAGAGTACAGTGACACTATCTCGTCTCACTGCAACCTCCGCTTCCCGGGTTCAAGCGATTCTCCTGCCTCAGCCTCCTGAGTAGCTGGGACTATAGGCACCTGCCACCATGCCCAACTAATTTTTTTTGTTTTTTAGTAGAGACAGGGTTTTACCATGTTGGCCAGGCTAGTCTTGAACTCCTGGCTTTAGACGATCCATCCGATTTGGCCTCCCAAAGTGCTGGGATTACAGGTGTGAGCTACCACACCCGGCCCAGAATAGCATCTTACACTTAAACTTATGCATCTCCTGTAACATTTTGAACAGTATCTTGTACATACCAGTGTTAATAATTTTTGTATTAACTTTGTAAAATATTTAATCCACACCTTAAAGAACATTGAAATTAAACCTTTATAACAGTTTTAAGAAATAACAGATATTTTAATCAAAATTTTTTATTTATTTAATTTTATTTTAATCCAATGGACAAATAGGGAGGCATTTGTTTTTCTCACTTAATTACAGTTTGAGCCCTGAGTCAACCTTTTCTCTGCACTTGGGACCTTCCCATTTTCTAGCAGGCTAAGTTCTTTGTCAGTGTACTGGTTGCTATGTAAGAGCCATAACATGTAAATTGAGATATAGAATGGAACCCTAGACACCTAGAAAAGCGAACACCTAATTCCTTACTATCCATAACTGGGAGCTTCATCACTAATATTGCGGAAAAGTACATTTTTCATTATCAGAAATAACAGACTAGATTTCTCCAGTACCTACTTGAGAAATAATACATTCGAGGATTTGTGGTGAAAATTAATGATCTTAGTAGTACTCTAGTGGCCTAAAATCCTTAATGAACATCCCTAAACACCTTACCTAATGCCAAGAAAAGGCAGGCACTGTGGGGAACAAAGAAGCCCATAATTACTTAGCTTTTTATTTAAATGATCTTGCAAATTGTTGAGTTTCTTCTGACACAATTTGGAGTGTAGACTTTTTTATTCCAGAACGTGTCTAAGTGTTAAGGACATCACATGTCCTAACACATGTGGTTGGAGGGTGGTGAATAATAAGTAGTTACAAAGTATCCCTGTGCCCAGTAACTCAAGTTCCATGGGAGAAATGAGTCTTTACTTTAGTGGAGCCGACTTGTCAGTGGCCACTCACACAGCTGTAGTCTATCAAATGTTAATAGAAGATTGTAATGAATATTTGAATAGGCTGGAGCTCTACAAGTAAGAAATGGCTGTGTATTCAGAGTCATTTTACAAACTGCAGCTAACTTCAGAAAATTAAGATTGCACATTCCTTCCTTCCATCTCATTTATTTTTTCAACTGTATTTTGAAGTCATAGGGTAGAATCTGAATCATACCACTAATGTCTCTTTGTTCTCGGTTCTACTGCTTTCACAGAAATGCTGTAGGCAGCCAACCAGAATGACTAATTTACTGGAGAAGTGATCAGAGTCCATTCAGTTGCCACTATAAAATAATTCAAGTAAGACAATGGTGACTGCTTGCACTCCATAGCAAAAATTTGTCCCAGAAACCACTTGATTCACCCCCAACATATTCATCCATGAAGTTAAAAGTCTCATCTAGAACATCCTGTTCATAATCAATTTGTTTTTCATATTATAAGTTAAGAAATGAAAATAGAAGGGATTTTTTAAAGGTAAAACAAAAACATTTTTCACATCACTCAACTACGTTTTGCTTTACAAAATTTAAATATTCTAAATACTATTTTTATTGTATTTAGAAGCAAAATTGCCTTACCTGAGCTAGTTTCAAAAGAGGTTCTTTGTTGTATTGCTCTAGCAGGTGTTAAATATTCAAGAACACATGAATATATACTGGGTTTGTCATTTTTAATCTCTTAAAAATGTTATTCACCAAGAGCATAATAATAAATACCAATAAACTTAGGCTCAGAATATAGTTATAATAGAATTACAAAGACTCTCATATTTGCCATTACTCCAAAAGGACTGAGTTACCCAGTTGCATGCACTTTCAATGGGTTCTGTCAGATAAACTGCATTTTACAACTCACTCACCACCAACTGAGATTTTCTTCGAGTATGTAACTACCAAACATTTTATACCTGATTTTATCCATTTTTAAATAGAGGGAGTTAAGTATTCAAACAGCTATTCAATATTTGGAATCACTGTTTCCCTATAGTTTTAAAGGTAAACAACTGGAATTAGATTATTATAAACAGTAATATTTGTCAAAACATTCAGTTTTGGAGTCAATCTTTCCAGAAAATTGCTACTCAAAACCAAATGAAATAAACAGATAATAAAAGAAGACCACAATATAGACAGAGATATAATAGAAAGATAAATAGACTAGAAATATAACAGAATGCAATGCTTCCAGTCTCAAAAATTGTAATATTGTTTATGCTCGCCCTCCCCTTAGTATAATAAATAGAGCCCATTCTTACAGGATAGGGATGGCTTACACAGAAAAATTGGTAGGACTCAGAAATGTCATGCAGAACATCAAAAGAATATAATTCCATAAATAGCCCTGTGCCCAGTCCCCACTTTCAGACTTATTTCTTACCTATTTTCATCTTCCTTATTCTTCGTAAAAATATTAAGCTATTTTTAATTCCCTAAACATGGCAGGCCTTCTCACATCTCCCTGTCTTTAGGAATAATGTTTTCTATTCCTTCCATCTGATAAATTCCTGTTTGACCATGTTTTTGCCCAAACATAACTTCCTCTGGGAACTTTTCTCTTACTGCCAAAGAAAGCCTGGATTCTCTTTCCTTTATGTTCCCTCCATGTATTATACAGCTACATTATGAGAAATGCTCTCATTTTATTCATTTTACCATAATTATGTACATATTTTCCTCCCCACTAATCACTTATTAAGCACCTTTTTTGAGATCAAGAATTATATCTGATTCCTAATATCTGTTACTGTGCCTGGCACATTATAGGTGATCAGTAGATTTTTTTAAGGAATCAACTGAGGGAATTAAAATAGCAAACTTAAAAATTCTGCCTGAAGTTTTATAAGGGATGTTTTGAAGTGGGAACTAAGGAAGTATATATTAACAACACTTTTATGAATGTTTCTAGGTGGGGAGTTCAAAATAGCAACTCTAGAGCTAATTAGAGTTGTCATGAAACTAAACTCAATAAAGGAAAATAATATGTAGATAGAAGAAAAGAGAGCTCAATTACTGATCTATAGGAGTTTACTTTTCACAAATTTTAGAGGTGAGGAAAGGAAGAAAAAGAGCGGACTACCAAGCGTTAAGAAAGGCAGGCATCATTCTCAGGAAACTAACACAGGAGGAGAAAACCAAACACCGCATGGTCTCACTCATAAGTGGGGGTTGAACAATGAGAACACATGGACACAGGGAGGGGAACAACACACACCAGGGCCTGTGGCGGGGGGTGGGCAAGGGAGGGAGAGTATTAAGACAAATACCTAATGCATGCGGGGCTTAAAACCTAGATAATGGGTTGATGGGTGCAGCCAACCGCCATGACACATGCATACCTATGTAACAAACCTGCACATTCTGCACACGTATCCCAGAACTTAAAATAAAAATAAAAATAAATTTTAAAAAAAAATTTTAAAAAAGAATAAAGGCAGGAATGAGACCTACTATTTGATAGCATAATAGGGTAACTATAGTCAATAATAACTTAATTGTATATTTTTAAATAAAGATATAATTGGTTCGTTTGTAACAATCTCTGCCTGTAATAAAGGTAGAAGACTGTGCTGGAAGCCAAGTGAAGTTTTTCCTGAGGGAGGAAATGGCCAACTCAGTGACATGCTGCTAAGAATGTGAGTAAAGTCAGTATAAAGTGTCCCTTGGACTGGGCAATACATAGGCTTTTGGTTATCTTGACAAGAGCAATTTGTTTTCAGTAGTGGGATGAAAGCCAGATCAGAGTAGGTTAGAGATTGAATGGGAGGTGAGGAAGTGGAGACAGCGCACAGTTAAGTAGTTGAGATATTTGGTTGAGAAAAGGGAGAGAGAAATGGAAAGGGGCTAGCTGAAAGGAATGTGGAGCCAAGAAAGAATTGTTTTTACCATGGAAGATATGAATGGCCCACTAGAAAAGGACAGATTGGCATTGTCGGAGAGAAGAGATAACTCCCAGAGAAAAGGCTGTAAGTATTTGAGAGGTGATGAGATCCAGAGCACAGGCAGGGGCTTGGCCATTGGTCCCAGGTTTGCTCTATCCGTTAACAAGGAAAGAACAGATACAGGTGTGAAAGCAAGCAGGTTCCCATGCATGACAGCAGGAAGATGAGAGCTAATTTCATCTCAAAACTCTTGGAGTTGTAATTAACACCATATTCTTTAACTCATGCCAAAAGGATATAGTTTACATCTGTGTCAGTCAGGATACGCTATGTATTGTAGTGGTAATAGACAATCCCAGATCTCAATGGCTAACAGTAACAAGAGTGTTTTTCCCATTCACACTGTTGTGCCTATCACAAATCAGCTATAACTTGACTCCACTTTGCCCTTTACCTGGAACTTTGCTGATGGTCATTCACTGGGAAAAGGGAATAATCCAACTATGCTTTTACTCTTCTGCCTGAAAGTGACATACCTCACTTCTGCTCATACTTCGCTGGCTAAACCACATCAAAATGGCATGCCTGAGTTAAATAGTGCAGGAATGTATAACCTTCCTACAGGAAGAGACATTGCAGAGGAGGAAAGCCGTGGGTGAAGAGTTACACAATCTATGACAAGTCCTATAAATAGTTCATTCATGTCTTTTAGTTAGTAAGTCTGAGGCAAAGCTAATATCCCAAGTCATGGATTTTTTTTTACTCCTGTGACTACCTATTCTCCACATCCATGCTTGCTAGACTAAAATGACTAACAATTACTCATGTATTCTAGAGCCTTCACTGAGCTATTACCATTAGCTAAGCTGTCATTCCAGCTGTAGCTCTAGTCTTCCCTTGGAAGACAGATGGTTACAGGTGGTTTCTGCCATTCAGTCATTGAATAAGTATTTACTATACACTAGCTCTATCGAGGTCAGTAAGATCCAGCCCTACTATAAAGGAAAGTATTATATTTTCCACATGTTTAATGGGTAAAATATACTCTTTATGATCTCATTCATGTGGTTGAATATCTCCTAGGTTTGAGAAAACTATTGGAAAACATTAAATGTGCAATATAGGTGTTGACCCGTAAATTGAATTATGCATTCACTATATCTTATGATTTTCTCTTTCTTGGAGAAGAAGTGCCTGTGAGAAGTTCTATCCTTTGGAATTGTGCCAGAATTGTGCCATTTTTACTCAAAACAACATAACAAGTGGAAAAAAATTAATCACTTTATTAATTAATTGGAAAACTGTGTGGGATAGACACATTGGGGGAACGCTATAAGATTGAGCCTTGCTCTGCTAAGGTTCAAAATGCAGAAAGATTATTTTAAGTTGTAGAATTTGGTAACAGACAAGAGAAAGAAAGCAAGGTGGAATTAGCTCATCTATAAATAAAGAAATATAAGACTTCCATAAGCCTTGCATAAATTTAAACACCCTCATTGATAATTGACCAGCATAGCAATAAGATAGCAGAATATTTTCTAGCAAATACAGTTTACCCTTTAAACAAAGTTCTTGGTGGTATTTTTCTATATTTAAAATGATTCCTGTCCAGGGCATATTGCTACTTTGTATTCCTCTTGATATTTTCATTTAAAAGAGAGCCGCTGTGCAAAATAATGTCCTTGTCTGTCCCTTCCTCATACAAACCTCCAATCAAATTTAATAAAGCTAGTTTGATACAATGCCAGCCTACACTTGGTTTACCCTTGGTCGACTTTAATAGGGTCAAAAATATTTTCGCATTGGCAGTGTACGCATTAATCATTTTTCCAGAAGATTTAGAAAATTGGAAGAGACAAGGCCAAGCAAAATTTTAAATTAATTGGGCCTACCCCAGCCTTCCAGGGTCACCTTGTGGCAGTTGTCCCACATTTTCCAGGTCACGGAGTTCCTGTGTTTCCTACAGCTGCCATGAGGAGAGATCCATGCTGTGGGCACACAAAGGTGAAAGAATTTCTCTCAGAAAGTGCGAATTTTCCTACGGCAACCACAACAATTGCAGTTTCCAGATTGTCGCCAGACACCAACCACTTAAATAATGCATGCTCGGCTGACGCCTCCACTTGTGCATTTTCTAATCGAGTAGTCAGGAAAATTTGCAAACACTCTGTCATTTACCATAAATCCACTGCCTACTCATAACTACAGAGTAATTAATTTTAGTGCTGCTCAGAATTATTAATTTCAGCCAGAAAAAATCTCTTTTCACAACTGCCATGTCCCCCATTTTATTTTCTTCCACCAATATTCATCAAAAAGGTTGAAACGGTTTTCTCATAGGAGAAAGCTTATTCAGAGTAATGTTATTGAGAGTCTAGTGTAATAGCAGTAACGGAATCTATATTTCTGGGTCTAATCCACAATCATGTGTCCAGAGTGTCCGGCTGACTCACCAGATGAAATTGGCAACATAAAATGAAGGCTTTTATGGAAGAAATGGTATAGTAGTCCGTAAAGCCTTACTATGTGATAGACAATCAACCTCAGAGTTTGGTTCTTCTAATATAAGGTAGTAATCATCTATACCCTCAGTTCAGAAAACACCTTCAGCCTTTTAAGAAAATTAGCAAATATTATTTTCCACTTGTTAAATAATCTTAGCATTTGACCAAAAAGAAAGTAAGAATCTTTATCAAGTTCAAAAATAACTTGTAGTGGAATACACAATTACGAATACACTGGAATAAAATTCTCAGCAATCACGTGTATATCTAACATACACAGAATGAAAATTGAGCATTAAATATGGTGCATTTTCTCTTGATAAAGCTAAATCGGGCACTCTCATTTGACATTAGTTCCCTGCTAAAGCAGCTGCATAATATGCCATAAGAATGTCCATATTATAAATAGGTAATGAGCATGAGAAAATTGGTACAGCTTTGTTTGACTAATGGCCAGATCGCTCCCTATCAGTAGCAGGAACACATAGCTAGCACAAGTATTGGCACTTTAATTGCCATGGAAGATTTCGTTTCCACTTTCTACTGCATGAATGATCAAGAAAAAAATGAAGGAAAAGTAAACTAACATCTAAAGCTGTAAACATGACTCACTGGGAAATCAGACATGGTTAAGTAAATTCCAGGATGTTTGTGGTTATCTGGGTCTAAACACTGCTGATAGTTCTGACTGCTCTTATTTTTAACTGTTTTTCCCCTGGGTGCTTCTTAGCCCAAGTGCATTCTTATAAAGACCTTCAACCTTTGATTATGAACACTCTCTGATTGCAGTATAGCAAAGAAGAGATGTGTCAGTACTAATGAGACTACCTAGTAGAATACAAAATGCTCTCACCAAGACCAAAACCTAGTGAGAAACTAACGACTGAAGAGCAAGGGTGACAAAACCTGACATTGTTTCCATCTTTATGTGTATCTTTTCTTCATAAGGTAGAGTCATTTTGAGATGATGTAACTACAGTTATATTAAAATTAGAAAGTTCCTAAAAGAGATCAAGTCACTGACACATAGAAAAAGATCATAAACAGGAAAAATGTGTCAGAAGGGAGTTTTTAAAATAATCTTTTTGAACCTCAGAACTATATGGGAATCTTGAGGCAATTGACACACTTGTGGAGAGTTAAAAAGAGTCACCTAAAACCTTAGGCTCAGTAGCATCTGCCCCACCTGGCAATCTGTTAGAAATGCAGACACTCAGTCCCCACCCCACACCTACTGAATCTGAATCTGCATGTTGACAAGATCCAGGTAATTCACGAGTGCATTAAAGTTTGAGAAGCACCAGTCTAAAACATCGTTGTAGAAGGTAAAGAAATTTCACAAATATTTCACAAATCATTGCCAAAAATCAGCTTGCCACTTCTATTTCAAGCTAACTAATTGCCTTCTAGGTCTACGCTTCTTTTTTTCTCCCTCAAGTTTTTCACACACACTAATAACCTTGTTCCAGACAAGGATACAATGAGCACGTCTTCAAGAAATGCATCTTCATTTCAAGTCAAGGCTGGGCCAACATAAGAATCAAGCAAAGAAAATGAAAAAGCTAACATCTCTGTTGTGCTATTAAAGGTTCTGGGTTTATATCCATGGGTCATCTCACCTCTCCCAATCTGGCCTCTTGTTTAGAGTGACAGATTTAACAAACATGTCTTTGAAACTGTAATTTTTTATTTTCTTGGTTATGGGGCAAAGCCCCAAGATTACTCTCAAACTGATGAAACAAAATTATCTATTTAAAAAAATTATTCAATTGCCTGGACTATGATAAAAGCCCATAAGGAAAAGGGAGAAAAAAGGAGAAAAAAAGGAACGTTTTTTAAATCACTGTGATAAATAATTCAAACATTGTATAACTAATCCGGAAAGTGAACAGAGTTCAACCCCATTAATTAGTCATTACAAACTACTGATTTGTACAATAACATCAGTGGTGCTTCTGAAGTAAAATACTAAGGAGTTATGTCCAGGGTGGAGCTAAGATACAGGACTTTTCCAAACACATGAATTTTTGCTGGAAAGATTTGCAACTAAATTGAGCCACTATTGAAACTCTACATTGTTTAATTTTATTTTTTTCGATTAATCACATACATTTAAATTTTAATTCATGATATTTTGTTAAAAGCATTATTGTGCGATCTTCACTGTATTTTGACAGAAAGCTGAATTCTTGTTCACAAGTATAGGATTTGTTTAGCTCCAGGCATCTGTGTTTGGATTACAAGAATGCTGATTGGTTCACTGCCAGGGGCACCCAGAGGTCAAGCTGTCCTTTTTAAAAGTCTCTCTCTCTCTCCCCTACCCCCCTTTTTTGTCTCATTAATCAGAGTTAAAAGACAGTGGAAAAAGCAATGACTTGAAATCATTTAATTCTTTTTCAAGGCTATTTTTAAAAGCAGAACTCAATGTTGGTGTGAGGTCGAGTCACGTGAGTGCAGATCACACTGGCACACTTCGGACAGGTGACCTGAAACCTTTCAAAATGACATCTGTCACAGAGACAGACACAAGTTTTTTAGCCCAAGAGCTTGTTTCCTGACATTTCATTTTTCATCAGATTTTGAGAGAAGGGAAAAAAGATGAACTTGAAAAAGTCTTGCCAGGGGCAGAAATTAAGATCAGGCTTTCTGCAGCTGCCTGACTCACCTTTAAAGGTTAAAGGTCTAGCAAAAGTGAACAAAAAAGATCTCAGCTTGATGTTATTGGATAAAAGGACATGTTATTACTTTAAATATGTTTCTGAGACTTGCATAACCATTAGGCAGCATTACAGGAGAAATGGAATCAGAGTGAGATTACAGACCCATTTTAAATCCCAATTTTAGAGTTTAGTCATGGAGCAAATCAAATCCAACCTCACCCATTCATCTGGCACAAAAGATGAAATCCACAGGTGCATGAATTTTCTCAAGAATTGAATAATTTCCTGCTCCTATGATATTGAAATGGCTACTGAAATTTAGACAAGGTATAGAAATTCTTACTTTGGAGTAGAAAGACTTCTGCACTAAAATATCTACATGGTTTATCTTGACTAAAAACATTAGGGAAAACATATGCTTTTGAATAATCAAAAGAGAAAATAATTGGGAGTCAGAAAAATACATGGGCTATAGTATTAGCTCTAGTAAAAATGTGAACTTGGGCAAGTGATATTTTCATTTCAGTTTTATCTTCTATAAAATGGGGGAAATAATATCTATCTCATGGAGTCCCAGCGAGGATAAAACAGGAATTATCCTAATGTAATTGCATGCTGCCAAATATAAAATAGTGTATCCATGGGTGGAAACCATATTAGCCTCATCTTTTTCTTTCAAGTCCTGAATACAGAACCTGACAAACGCAGCATTTGATAAATGGCTCTTGATTTGAAACGGAAGGTACTACTTTCTTTATTATTAGTTAATCTATTATTTTTAAAACTGAATCCAAGAGATTTTTCAATGAGAAACAGCATGATTAGAGGTTGGGAAATGTTTTGTTTTGTTTGTTGGCTTTTTAGATTATCTCCAAATAAGGATATATGAGCAAGAACACTAAGCGACTAAGCATAGTTCAGTTGATATAATTTTCAATTCTATGGAACCAGGCAAATCAAACTTATTTGGGACAGAATTGTTCATATTTTCCAAAATAATGGTTCATATATTGCCAACTGGGTAACGTTACCTTGACTATCAAATGAGGAATTTGATGCTCATCTTAGCCAAAATGCTCATCTTAGTATACAATCTGAGAAAATACAGAATTAACTGGCTAAGTAACAGGAGCTAAATATTCTAGATCTGGTCAATTCTTTGTGAAAACCAGGCTCATCTTGATAAGCACACCATCATAGCAGTCTCAAAATACTGACTATTTGTATATTCTACTGACAACTCCTTCCTACAAAAATAGGACATTATCATTGTAAACAGGGCTTACACATTTATGATACTTAACTTACAATACTTATTAAACTATTCAACAAGTTAAGAGGAAAGTGCATGGCAGGATTAAGGCCCACAAACCTGGATATTTGGATATGACATCTACTCTTGTAGGTGAATTGGGATCCAGAACTTCCTGCCCCACTGATAATCCTACTTTTAAATCTTTTTTTCTATTCTACTGTTTAACACGCTTTCCACTAACACATATAAGTAAGTGAAACTAATGTGCAAGGTTTTCATGTCAGAGAAATCTAGTTGTACTAGTTCGTTTACACACTCCTGATAAAGACATATCTGAGACTAATTTATAAATAAAAAGAGGTTTAATGGTGTGGCTGGGGAGGCCTCACAATCATGGCAGAAGGTGAAAGGCACATCTTACATGGTGGCAGACAAGAGAGAATGAGAGCCAAGTGAAAGGGTTTCCCCTTATATAACCATCAGATCTCGTGAGACTTATTCACTACCATGAGAACAATATGGGGTAAACTGCCCCCACGAGTCAATTATCTCCCACCCGGTCCCTCAAACAACATGTGGGAATTATGGGAGCTACAATTCAAGATGAGATTTGGCGGGGGGCTATAGAGCCAAACCATATCACTAGTAGTACATGTTTTGAAATATATATCAATGAGACCATATTTATATGGTCCAGTTCTTATTTGAGAACAGATTCTGTTCTTCCTTTAAGTAAAATTATTATCATATTATTAATACATACTTCAGTTCTTGGTTTTGAGAAGAGACTCCACAAAAATAGTGAAAATAAGCTGGATCCTTGAATTTATTTTTTAAGCTCCTCTGGGTTTCCTTAAGAAATCATTGCCTGTTGCTATTTTGGAGAAGTTGTCTAGCTTTTATAGTTCACAGTCACTCTGGATTATTTTCCTGACAAGCCTGAGAAAAGCTTTCTTATACAAATTTATTCATTTTAGTTTGTTTTATGAGATATTTTCTGCATGCTTTGGATACTCAATAGTTCTTTTGACAACAACTATTTTAGTACTGATCACGAAAGAAAAACGCATGAAAATTTTGTTCTATACTACCTGGAACTTAAAAGTATAGACATTTCTAAAGAAAAACTACAAAAAAATTCCTCCAGTAATCTTTGTTGTACTTTAGACATATCTCCAGCCTTACTTAACATTGTAATTTCCTTTTTTTAGATTAATTAATGTGTTATATTGGATCATAATCTGTTTTTGTCTTTCAATATTCTTTTCCTCAATTCTTGCTGCAATTTCCAATACCAGATTTTAAAGGGGCAAATACATTTTTATTATTTCTACACTTGTGTGTAATCTGAGGTACATAATCTGTACATGTGTGCTTCTTAGGTAGTTACTTATTCACAATGACACAGAATTTAGGTACTAGAGTTTATAAGGGCTACTTGATATCCAAGAACAGGCTGGACTCATTTATGAGACTTTTAAAGGCATTCTTCTTCAAAACAAAAAGTTATATTGTTCTAACATCATGTGAACTAAAGTGCCAGAGTTCAATTTCAGTTCAGACGTAGAAACCCAGAAGATATGAGTGGATTTCCAATTTGGTGAAATATTTCAGATTTAGTTTCTGAACTGTAGAAAAGGGATGATACAAACAAAGCAACACTTCAGAGTCTGTGAACAGACAGACATTTCATACATTGGGTGGCTTTGGGCAAATAGAAAGGGCTGTTAACAGCTTTAGCTTCTTTTCCTCTGTACACCACTCACTTTTTAGTCAAGAAAGATGGTTCTTTTTATTTGAGTAGGGTTTACACCCGATCAGGTAAAAAGACTGTGACACGGGTATTCGAATCTGTCCCCTCTGCTAGGCATCCCAATCTGCACTGATCATATTGAGGCAGTCTTTAGCAATAGCAAAGACTCGCAAACCAGGAAACTGCCACCTCTGCCATCTCATTTGAGGCACAGCTGTGCAAAACCTGCCTTCAGCCCCTCCCAGTGCCTTTCCTTTGGCCCATCTTTGTTCTCTCTGCCATTGTCTGACTTTGCCAAGGAAATCACGTATGACCCTTTCTTCTTTAAACAAAAATGGATTTTTTTCTTTTCTGATTACATGGGCATATACACTTGCTCATTAGAGATAGAAAAATGCCATCCAGGAGTGTATTTGCTTTCAGTCACTTTTTCCTAAGCCTTGTTTTATGTACATGAAGACGTACAAAACAATGATTTTGTATTCAAATTTTTCACCATATTATAAGTGTTTCTTCTTCATTGTATTTAGGTTGGTGCAAAAGTAATTGTGGTTTTTGCCATTTAAAGTACATTGCACCAACCTAATGGAAACCATTTTTAAGACAATCTTACTGGCTGAATAATATTCTCTCAATATAATCTCAATAGTGTATTTTATGTTTTTTGTCCTTGTATATATCCCTTACTGAGTTTTTTACTCATTTTTAAATAATTTACATCTCTTTATAGATTAAAAATTAATCACTTGACATCTTCAAAAATATTTCCCAGATTATTATTTGTCTTTTAAATCATTTAAGATTTGTTGATACTTTGAAGTTTTTTATATGTGTGTTAACAAATATATTGATCTTTAATTTTTTTATTTTTGCAGTTGCTCATTCTATTTTTCCTACTTTTGGTTTTTAAGTAGGAATTGTGTTTTAAGCTTGTAAGTTTTTCCCTAGGCAGGTGAGTTTTTGCTGGGCTTTTTCTAAATTATGTCTTTTCTGAGATTTGATGGAGACAGTGTTGACTTGAAGTAAAGGGTTAGTGAATAGTAATCTTATTATGGCAGTTGCTCTCAAAGTTTGGTATCCACAAGAATCATCTAGGATATTTGTCATAAGATTTTAATTTGAAGGGCTAGTGTGAGACCTAGGAATTTGCATTTTTAACAAGCACTAGGAGTGATTATGCTGAGATAGTCTATGGACCACACTGGAATTATGTGTTCCATATTTTAAAATTAGATGAGCGATTTCAACACATGGTGCTGGAACACTTGGATATCCATATGCAAAAAAATAAAATGAATTTCAATCCATATCTTGCACCATATACAAAAATTAACTCAAAATGGATCATATAAAAAATTAAAAATAAATGGATCATAGACCCAAATGTAAAACCTAAAACTATAAAACTTCTAGAAGAAACCATAGAAGAAAATCTTTGTGACTTTGGGTTATGCAAAGATTTCTTAGCTACAACACCAAAAGCACAATCCATAAAATTAAAAAATCGATAAATTGGATTTAATTAAAAGCAAAAATTTCTGCTGTTTGAAAGATATTTTTAAGAGAAGAGATTGAAAAGACAAGCCATAGACTAGGAGAAAGTATTTTCAAAGCACATAAAAGGTAACATATTTGTATGCAGAATACATCATTTTTTAAAAGCTCTTAAAACATAATGATAAAAAAATTAAATGATGAGCAAAATATCTGAACAGACATTTCACCACAGATGTATATGAGTGGCAAGTAATTGTATGAAAAAATGCTCAACATTGTTAGTCATTAGGGAAAGACAAATTAAAACCAATGAGATGCCACCACTTACCTACAGAGTAAAAGGAAAGACCATACCAAGAATCAGTGAGCATATGGAGAAACTGGAACTCTCATACACCACTGGTAAGGATGTAAAATGATGCAACCACTTTGGAAAATAGTTTGGCAGTTTCTTAAAAAGTTAAACTGGCCAAGAAAAATGAAAGCATATGTCTGTATGAAGACTTGTACCTAATTGCTCATAGTAGCTTTATTTATAATATCCAAAAGCTGGGAACAACCTAAGTGTCTATTAACAAGTGAATGAATAAATGCATTGTTATATATGCATACAATGGGAAGCTATTCATCAGTAAAAAGGAATGAAGAATTGATACATGCAACGTGGACGAATCTCAAAATAATTATGCTGAGTGAAATAAGGCAAACCAAAAAAGTGCATACTGTATGATTCCATTTACATAAAATTCTTTAAAATGCAAAGGAATCTATAGTGACAAAAAGCAGATCTGTGGTTGCATGGGGATGGGGAAAGAAGTGGGAGGGAGGCACTACAAAAGTATCTTGATTATGTTGATGGTTTCATGGGTATATAGATACATCAAAAATAATAAATAAAACATAAATTTGACTAGAGATTCTAGAAGTCTGTGGTCTAACCTGATTTCCTCTCCCTCCTACACCTTACTGGGATAACTCAACCCCTCATTGATTAACTGTTGGATCTCAAAGCAAAAGCTTATAGATGGATTTCCAAAACTTTGCAAAAATGAGATACAATAAAAATTGTTTTGTTTTGTTTTGATTGGGGGTGAGCCCATGGAAAATCAGTCTGCCTAAAAGAAGCTACATCTGTCATACATTGGGTGCTCCAGGGAGAAGATTCTGAGACGGAGTTTCCTGTGCAGGATGTTTATTAGGGAGTGCTCTTGGGATCAACCCTTATAGAAGAAAGAAAGCAGTATTTGGTAGAGAGAGAAATAAAGCTGTGATACAGACGTGGAAGCTTCAGCCAGCCCCATGGGACTCTCTGGGATGAGAAAGGCAGTGATATTTAGAATTAAACCAAATAAATGATAATCATGTGACTACTATTTATGACATGCATACTAGGTGGCAATTAGTTCAGGTGAGGCTTGATTCAATGTTCAAAGGATGTCGTAAAGGGTGCAGCTTCTTGCTGTCTCACTGTCCCACTTTCCATATGTTCAACTTCAAGCTTAGGCTCCACTCAGTGGTCCCCTCCATTCCAAACTTATGTGATAGAAAATGAAGACTGTGATTACATACATCACATCCTCCCACCAACAACTCCAGTGGAAAAAAAGAGATCAAATGTCTAGTAGTTCCTGTGAAAAACAAAACACTTAGCTTTAAAAAAAAATCATCTAGAAAAATCATCTTTGCCTCTCTTCTATCAGGCTATGTGCCCATACCTGAACCAATTCTCCTTGCCAGGAGACTGGACTAGGCTTATTGGCACAGACTTGTAACTCAGGTGGAATCAGCTCTTCCACAATGGAGGAGGGATTGTTTTATTTTCATAGGGAACTTTTGGGTACTTGTATTAAGAAGTAGAGGTAATAGAGGCTGAGCCGCAAACTAGACTAGTGATCCAGTCAAACTACAGTGATTTAAAGCAAAGGCACTGCAATGAGGGCATTTCAGGGACTGAGATAATAAAAAGGGCCCTTTTTGGAGCACAGGGGTTATCTGATGGCCACTCAAATATTATCACAAATGGACAGCTGACCCTGCTTACTCATACACAGTCTGTTTTTATTTTCCCGATGAGTAAACATACCCTCTTCTTTTCGAATTAAAAACTGCAAGAAATGTCAAAAATGAAAAAACACTTTAAAATTAAACTCTATTAAAGAAATGCTAGTTCCAAAAAGACATAATTGGGCTCTCTAAAACCTGGCAGCTCCCAAACGCCAACAAGTTTTTCTCTTCGCAAGTCTGTTCTCAGCCATTCCAAGAAAGGAACAGAGAAGAACAGAGCTATATCATTTTGATGACAACCCACTTCTAATCCACAGGATCATATGCCTTTGCACCCTGCTCAAAGGAAACTTGGCCTAGAAAAGAATTAGTTTCATAACAAACCAGCCATTCTGAGAATAGAGGTGAGAAGAGATCGGGTGGAAGAATCTGAGACAGTGTTGAGGAGCTGGCGAGTTTTAATTGCCAGTTCATATGCAGCTTCATGATTGTGCACAATGACCGGAGGAACTTGGCTTCCAGTTTCTCAAACTCTTAAGTCAGGAGTAAAAAATAACAAAATCTGGAAGGTGTTTCATCCTGCTAAAAATAGGGGGAAAAAGGAATGTTTTGAGTCACTGAGACAAATACAATTATTTCAAGGCAAATAGATTACTAGGAAAGGTCAGCATCTGCAGCGTCATCTCCATTATCCTCATCCAGCGTTTATTAAGTGCATGGTTTGCAAGACATGCCAAAGTTCCTATCTTACAAAGATTATACGCCAGTACTCAGGTGCGTGGTTATATGGACAAATGAAGTTTAGGGAGATTTAAGCCCAAGGAAGGCTATAAAATTGGGAAGTCGCTATGCAGCAAAAACAGCACAAAACAAATTGCATATGAATAAAAGATCTAACTAAGGTACGATCTAAATAATATGTGTGTAACATCTGATTAGAAGAATATTTAAAGATTACGGTTTAGGAAATAATAGAATTTAAGCCCAATGCCAAAAACCTTTAGGAGAAGAAACATGTTAAATGGCTAGAGAGATCATCCAGAGGCTTCTCTTTCCCATGAATGTATTTGAATAGCACTATTATTTAAGCCTCTTCTTTATTTCTCCTTCCCTGCCTACTTTCTCTTAGTACTTCCCATTTCAAGCAAGCTTTACACCCAAGAAGTTACTGCTGTTAATGAAGCAAATGGCAGTCATGAAACTCAAGCTAGAAACAATAAAAAAAAAAACTGTTTAAACTAAGTTCTAATAAAGGGTCTTACAGATTAAAACCAGGTAGGTGGAATGTGCATAATGCTTGCTTTTTTTGTGGTGCTTTGAGGAAATAAGCAAAAAGACATGAAAAATTAGTTGCATTCAACCAACCCTTTCCCCTCATCACCCTGTCACCCAACAGGCCACTAAATACACTAGAGAATGATTCTGGGAAACAGAAGACATGCTCCTTTGGTTTTCTTGATTTTTTCTCATTTCTGTGAATTTAATTTTCTGTGTGAGCATGTGTCTGAGCTGGGGCAGACAGATTGGTGCAGGGTTTCTTAAAAACAATTTTTTGCTCCATCAGACACAATATATTCTGCTGAAAGAGAAGAAAGCACTATACCCCAGGGACAAAAAGTTTCCCTAAAAGTTTGTTCCCTCAAAACTTTGCAATGGAAGGCAGCATCCCTCTTGGGTGATTTAATTTAATTGTTATGTTTTTTAACTTTGTTCTGGGGAAAATTAAGCAACCATCAGCTGCACTTCATAGACAAATACCACTTTTTGGTAGATAGAACACAAAACTAGGAATCGGAAAACCCAAAAAAGAAACCTGGCACAGCGCTGGGTGATATCATCTCCACACGCCTAAATTTCCTGTTTGCAAAATGAGATAGAGCTTCCCACTCGTCATTTCTTTCTTGGAGATGCTGTGAGGATTAATAGTCTTCACTCTGATTTTTTCTTCCAAGAAGAAGCAGAGACTTTTAATGGTGCAAAAGGCGCATCTTGATAAGTGTGGAGAGGGCAACACAGATTCTGTACTCGATTTGATGGTTAAAGGTAAGACATGTTCTGGGTGCGTGAAGGAGCTTGTAACTCAAAGAAGCATCAGACACAAATAGATAATTGAACATGGAACATGTTAAGATACATGTGGGATCAGATCATACTAAGTCTTAAGAGGTACAGGGTCCTGGAGGTTAAATGCACAAACTCCAAATCGCGGTTCTGGAAGCAGACTTCTAGCTGAGTGACTTTGGACAAATTACTTAACTTCCCAGTGCCCTAGTTTCCTTATCTGTAAGAAGGAGATTAAAAAATAGTACCTCCTTCATAGGGATAATCTACACACATGTGAAGTATTCAGAACAGTCAATGCCTGGCATATAATAAGTGGTATTGTTTTTATTATTAGACTGGGTAAGCTCATCCAGACATGGAAAGGTGGGAGGAGCTCTCCAGGCAGAGGGAGCAGCATGAACTGCAGAGGATAGAAACTGTACAAGTGTTTTTTTTTTTTGCCTTTGATTATAAGAAATGTCCTATTCTTAAAGCATAAAGGACCAGGTAGATGATGCCAATATGAAAAGTTCATGGAGACCTTTGTTATGAACTTGGATTTTATTTTATAGGCAATGAAGTGTCACTTAATAGTGCAGATGAGGAGGTAACATGGTCAGATTTGTGACATGGTGAATAATTAAAAGAAGATGATGACAGCATGTGGTGGATTATTTGCAAAATGGCCACAATTACTCCCTCCCTGTATCCACATCTCTTTATAATATGCTTTTGGGAGTTTTCCTATCAAGAGGTGGAAAATACTTCCCTACTTATTTAAAATAGGCTGACTTTGGATTTGTGTTGTCTACTAAAGTGCAACAAAGTTATATTGTGCCATTTCCAAGCCAAAAAGTCAAGGGACCCTATGTTCTTCCATTTACTGTCATGGAACCCTGCCTCCACTAAGTGAACAAGCCCATGTTCACCTGCTGGAGGATAAGGCAGGGCCAAGCTCTTGAGCCAAAACCACCCCAGACCAGCCAACTTCCAGCCGACCTAATAATTGGCTAGAAAGCCAGCCAAAACCAACCACCCAGTTGAACCCAGCCTAAATTGCCAACCCACAGAATCATGGGCTACATAAACAGTTGCTATTTTAAGCCATTAAGTTTTTGAAGAAGATTATTATGCCACAATACATACATACACACCGTATAAAATTTTTAAGTAGCTGAATTTAAATAGTTGGTCTACAATAGTTAATATATACATGAATATGCCAATGAAGGTATAAATGACCATTGTAAAAATGACATGTCTTTGCAGGAAATATTACAGTTTACAGTGAGCTTGCTTCCTTTTCTCTTTTCTTTTTTTTTTTTTTTTAACAGAGTCTCACTCTGTCACCCAGGCTGGAGTGCAGTGCTGTGATCATGGCTCACCACAGCCTTGACCTCCCCAGGCTCAGGTGATCCTTCCACCCCAGCCTGCTGAGTAGCTGGGACCACAGGCACTCACCACTACGCCCAGCTAATTTTTATATTTTTTGTAAAGACGGGATTTTGTCATGTTGCCCAGGCTGCTCTCAAACTCCTGGGCTCAAGCAATCCATCCACCTCAGCCTCCCAAAGTGCTGGGATTACAGGTATGAGCCACTATGCCCAGCACAGTGAACTTTCATGTAAATAATCTCACTATTATTAAAACAACTCTTCTTTTTTTTTTTTTTTTTTTTTTTGAGACGGAGTTTCGCTCTGTCGCCCAGGCAGGAGTGCAGTGGCGCGATCTTGGCTCACAGCAAGCTCCGCCTCCCGGGTTCACGCCATTCTCCTGCCTCAGCCTCCCGAGTAGCTGGGACTACAGGCGCCCGCGACCACGCCCGGCTAATTTTTTTGTGTGTTTTTAGTAGAGACGGGGTTTCACCGTGTTAGCCAGGATGGTCTCGATCTCCTGACCCCGTGATCCGCCCACCTCGGCCTCCCAAAGTGCTGGGAGCCACCGCGCCCGGCCATTAAAACAACTCTTGAAGTAGTCTGAAACAGATATTGCTCTTCCATTCTATAGAGAAGTTTGTGTGATTCCCAATCACACAATTGGGAAGTCAGACTTTAATATGGGACCACTGACGCCTGGTAGATTTTTTTAACCATATCATTCTGTTTCCCCAGGAAAATGAACAAAGATATCATTTGTTTTCTTTTTTTATTCAACAAATACTGGAGAGTTTTCTATGTTTCAGGTACTGTGACGAATACTTAAACTACAGGGGGAAACCAGCCAGACATAATCCCTGCCTCTGTGGAGTGTTAGTGAGGGACAGAGGTGGGTAAAAAGACAAGGACCAAACAATGCCATCAGTGTTGTACAGCAGAAGTACAGGGTGTTCTTAGAGCTTGCGGAATTAGGAAAAGCCTTCTACAAGATGCAACATCTAAACTGAAATCCAAAAAATGACTGGGAATTAGCAAGACAAAGAGGGGGAAGAAAGTAATCCAAGTAAGAAGGACTAGCATTGCAAAGTCATGGCACATTCTTGAAACTGAAAGTAATCAACCACTCAAATTTATAAGCTGTTCATACATAGTATGAATGGGGAGAGGAAAGCTGGAGGCAATAGGAGAAATTTAATTTTAAAGGATTCATGGGATTTGGCCAGTATCTTAAAGACCATTGGAAGCCATCGAAAAAATTTTAGGCAGGGTGCTGACACGGTTAGATTTGCTTTTCACAATGATAACTCTGGCTCGAATGTGGAGACAGAATTGAGGGAGGTAGGGGAATGAGTAGAGACCAGTTGACAATTTATGAAGGTGTGGCTGTAATTCAGGTAAGGAATGATGATGTCCTGAAACAGGGTAGGTGGCAATGAAGATGAAGAAAATTAAATAGAATTAAGTGTTTAGGAGACAGACACAAAGGCTTTGGTGTTTAATTAGATATTGACTAGAGAGAGGGTAACCCCAGATTGCTCCCTTGGGCAAGTGAGTGAATGGGAGTGCTATTCATTGAGATGGGGGCCACTGGAAAGAAACAGTGTGGGAAAAGTAAATATTAACTCCAATTTTAGGCCTTTCAATTATGATCTTCCTATGGGATGTCCCAAAGGAGATGTCCAGTAGGCAGTTGAGGAAACATGAATGTAAAGAAGAGTGGATTTAGTCTCTGTAGCCTCTGAAAGGATTGTGGATGCTTTGGCATAACTAGATTCAGCTGCAGCTTAGACGGGCCTTTCAGTAGTAATGGTATGGGGTGATGTGTTGTGTGCCTCTTCTCTTGGTCCACATGGGTAAGCAATGTGATGAGCAACTTCTAGAGGGTTTAATCCTCATGATGATCAGAGATGGGTATCAGCAGTAGGTGACAGCAAGCTAGCCATCTAATTTGGCAAAGGTATGGATGGGAGTTGATGGTGTGCAGAGAACAGAAGTTTCATGCCCTGGCGCCCAAAGAAAGGCAATCTTATTATGTTGCCCTTGCTTCTTTCTATTACATAGATTGGGATAATCAACAATTTATACTAACTCATTTCATAATGAAAGCATCTCTGTGACGTCAGCAAAACGTACATTGCTATTCCTCATTCTATAGGTGAAGACACTAAAACTTAGTAACTTGCCAGCTCTCATAATTAGTAAGTGGCAGAGTTGGGATACTAGAATTCCAGGTTCCCTTTTCTAAATCTATCACTTTCTTCACCAAAAAGGGAGTCTATTGAGAAAGACTCAACAGCACATAACATATTGAAGAGAATTAGAAAGAAGGATTAAGATAACTTTATGATTTCTGGTCTGGGAAACTGGAATACTTATAATATCTCCAGCCAAAATTGAAAACTTGAGGATAGAAAAGAGCTTGGGCAAGAATATGACTTCAGTTTTGGAATGAAATTGCTGAGCAAAAAGTGACCAGGCAAAGTCTCTAACCAGGACAGCTCTTGTCTCTCTGTAGCTGTAAATCAAGGCCCATCCTTTGGATCAGCAGTATGGAAGCTGGAACTTTTCAGAAAATAGCCTCTTCAATCCATCTCACATCCACCCAGTCTCTTTGTAAAGAAGGTAATTAAAACAAACCATAGTTCGTGGCAATTTTCAGATTAATAAAATTAAGAAAATAAAATAAGGATATTACTGAAGAGTTAACTCAGCCTCAGAAGACAGCTCCTAAGCATGGCTTAGAATACTTTTAATTGTAGTTCCAGGTTACCCACAAGGAAAAGGGCCATATTTCTACGCCCTTACCTAGAAGAAGCATATGTGTCTTAACTGATAAATGTGTTTAGATGAAAGGAGCCAAAAAGGTTGTTATTTATTAGAAAATACCATAACTAGAGCATCTCAGGCTATATTTTTTCTTACTACCTTTCTGACATTTGCTTTGAAGGTCGTGGAGATGACCGAGTGCAAAGAGGTTCACAGTATTTGGGGTTATTTATGCAACTTCTTGTGGATGTACAATTTAAGCTTGGCCAGTCTGATCACTCTGGAATGAGCCCTGGCCAAGTGGTAGGGATTAATCTGCCAGGAGACAGTCTTCCATAAATTATTTGGTTGGATTTTTTTTTTCATTTTCCTGGTTTAAAACATTTTCCTCCAATAAATAATCGAGTTGTACACTGGAAAACGAAAATGACTGACCTCCTCAGAAAGTAAAAGAAAGTCTGAAAATGGAAACTGGAGAGTTTTCCCTTCTATTGTCTACCCAGTGAGAAAATGTACTTGCTTATTTGAAATACCAGCAAATGGGCTCCCACGTAATGAAATATTTATTGAAATTGCTTCTTTGGCCCTCTACAGTCACTGATAGGGTTTAACGAGAGTCAGGTAAGGAAGTCAGAGTGAAGGTACGTCTATTTATTTATTTATGGTTCAGGCCGTTTCAACCATAAGGTTTACATTGGGAAATCATACAGGCAGGGCCATACATGACTGACAATAATAGTTACTTCCCATTTTCATTGAATTGTTTGCCACAGCTCAGAAAAATCAATCTTGAGAGATTTCTATATTTACTTGGGTCAGTATTTAAGCTTTTTCTCTGTTGTTAAAATATATTTATGTTAGTTTTAATTAAAGTTCACAATGTTGAGTACTTATTCAATTTTTTTTTTCAGAATTCTATCACTAGCTTAATTCCCTTTTTTGTTATCTACTTTCTGTTTGTTTATCTGTTTGTGTGTTTGTTTCTCTAGCCTTTCTATACTCTGAAAATCAGTTTTAGTTCACCAACCCAAGCTAAGGGCATTTTCCATTCCTTCTTGCTTTGATCAAGATATATCTACCCAAATTAAAACCATGTCTGTACAAACTATAACAATGACCCTGTGAAAGCAATTATTTCAAAACAATTCTTAAAATAAAACATCTGTATGAGCTATGCTCAGAAAAAATGAGAAGTGTCTAGCATTCCAAAATCTCATATATGCCAAATAAAGACATCCTAGGGAGAAAAGGATCATCTCTGCTCTTCAGAGAACACTGGGTGATACTGAGGCTCTGTGAATTTTCATGAGGTTCATCATGATTTATTGAGAAAGCTTGAGAAAGTCACTAACTGGGGGTTGCAAGAAATAATCTCCAGCATTACTTAAAAAGCATTCCAACATGTTTACTTTTGCTATTTCTGGCTTTTAGAAAGCTAATAAATTAAGAGAAACATAGAACTTTACAGCTGAAAGCAGTCTTAGAGACCATCTAATCAAAGCTTCTCAATTTATGAATAAGGAAACCAGGATCCAAAAACATCAAGTAGATTGAACAAAAGCACATATATAGTCGGCAGCAGACCAAGAACTAGAATCCAAATATCTTAACTCTTACTTCAGTGTTTTCTCAGCAATGCTGAATAATTACACTATAATCATTATCGTCACACACACACACTCACACACTCACTCAAGCTAGAGAAACCAACTATATACATGAGTCTAATAAAAATGTTCCAAGATGGCCCATAATTTGAGCCAGCTGCTAACTTCTGACACCCATATGTGTTTCAAACCATGTAATGATGCCATGGTGTGTTGCCCAGATCTGCCCTCCAGGACTAGACCCTCATCCCCCAGCTGCTGGAAGTGTTGGCAGTCACCACTCTCAACAGTTTCTCCTCGGGACTTGCTTCGGCTGAAGAGAGCCACAGGTTGAAGCCCTGCATTGAGCGACTGGTCAATACTGGGGTGTAAAACCCTGGTTCCCCTACCTTAGTTTGAGAGTTATCCCAGCTCCAGAACTCCTCATGTGGTCATCATAGGCTTGCATTGCCACTGCATTGTAGTTGGCCTTCCCCTTCTACCCAATTCTGTTGCCTTCATTCTCTCAGAGGCATTGATCCTGAGAGCTCTACCCACAAAGATGCCGCCTGCCTGCAAACCTTCCTCTCACAGTCCACCTCCCAGAGAACCTGACCAGAGACATACAGTGTCATGTGTAAGAGAGGGGCTCTAGAATCCAACTGCCTGGGTGTTAATCCTGGCCTTGCCACTTTCAAGCTGTGTTCCCTTGGTCAAACTACTGTCTCTAAATCTTCTTTTGATCAGTTTTTATAAAAAATAAGAATAATATTAGAGCCTAACAGATAGGGTGGGTATGTATTATATGAGATAATCCATGTAGAAGTCATAGCATAGTACTTGGCACAGACTAATTGGCAGTATCAGTCAGGATGCTAAAGGAAACAGATGGCACATTCAAAATAAAGGACTATTTACAGGGGTGTGGGCAAAGCTAAAGCAACCAATAGGGAATGGCGAGGCATCCAGGGACTAGGAGCAGTGGGAAGGCAGTATCAGCCCTAGGTCTGACAGGGCAAGTAGTCAAAACAATGTTACAGAGCCAGGAGAGAGCTGGAACTGGGAAAGAGGCACCCCTGACAGATTCAAAGCAGCAGAGGAACTCATCCCTGCCAGACCACGACAAGGGAGGGAGAGAGCAGAAATAAATACAACGGATTCTCTCGCCTCCCACCCCCTGCTTTCCTGCTGGTCAACCAAATACAGCCAGAACACAAAAAGGAAAAGATGCCAGGAGAATCAACATGTAGACAGCAGCACTCTCACCACCCCATCGCCACACACTCCCCAAAGAACAGGACAGGGCAAAGAAGGGCAGAGAAGAGATCTAGAGGGAAAACTCAGAACAGCCAGCATAGTGGCCCTCAAAGGTTAGCTATTAGCCCAATTTCTATTATTCCTGCATACCCTGTATTCAGACTCTTGCTGTTTATAAAAATGCAAACTAATCCAAATCTTGATTAAAAGATAGAATTGGAATTTTCTTAAAAATAAGTCCAACAAATTCATTAACATAATTATCTGGCATATACTAGGTGTTCACTAAATGTTCTTTGATCAATAGACTAATTGGTTTCATATAAATGAAATAAAACTTTCTTCAATAGAAAAAGTCAAAAGAAAACCCTTTGGGAAATGAACTGACTTTAACATTCTCAAGATAATTTCAAGTTACTAAAAAATTTTAGAATTGTCAGGAGTTATATTCGCTGAGTTTCTTAAAATAACATTATCAAATAAATGCAACTTGGGATTGTTATTTCTCAGCAGGATAATAAAAGGTTGCACGAATAAAATTTTACTTACAAAAAAAGAAGAAAATAATCACCCCCAAAGTGATTTTATTAAAGGCAAATATAAAATATATAATTTCTTTAAATATAAATGTATATACATATTAATTCTTTTTATGAGAAAGTTCTTTTTTCACCTGGATGGAGATCTTCAAAGGATCT
Organism: Homo sapiens; assembly: GCF_000001405.40. NCBI lineage: Eukaryota > Metazoa > Chordata > Mammalia > Primates > Hominidae > Homo > Homo sapiens. The sequence continues at coordinate 93,210,578 of NC_000005.10, forward strand.
TTTTAGGAACAGAGAGAAGAATTGTCCTTTCTCCTGAATGGGAAGAACAGTAAGGCCTGGAGGCCACACAACCCTGGAGTTCACACTCCAGATCCACAGGTACTGCCTATGTAACTTTGGATATGCTTCCTGCCTGTTTGAGTCTCAACCTTTTTCTCTGTAAGCCAGCGTAGGGAAAGGAATTTCTATCTCAAAGGGTTACAAGGACAAAAATGATATAACTTAGTTCATAGCAAGCACACAGAATTGATGGTGTTAGTTCCCTATCCCACTACATATATGCTTAGGTAAACACACAGAGTTGCCAGAGACCTGCCTGTCCTCCATCAAGGAAGCTTGGATGTCACCAGTCAAGAGTGACTTGTCACACTTTCCCAGGGACACAAAAAAGTTCCAGAGATCCCTGAAGAGCCCAATCTCCTGATTCCAGACTCTGAACACCTTCCAAGGTGTGGAACCTAGGCCTTCTTTAAGATGTGTAACCAGAAGTTCTCATCTTGGGGTCTGTGACGTCTTTGAATCTCTTTGTAAAAAGGATGAAAAAAAATGGTGTCTTGTTCAGTGGAGATGGTCCACAGATTATATGAGATCCTCAAAGAATGTGTGATCCAAAGAAAGATTAAGAAGCCCTCTTCAGTAATAATACCTCAGCACCCGCCCTAACCACATCCCAGCAGCTAGCCTCTCCTCATCTGGTCATGGAGGGAGCTAGAGGCCCTCCATTAACCTACGCTCCACATTTTCTTCAGGAAGGTAAAGAACGGAGTTTTTAATCTGTGAATATTGTGGCTTTACCTCCTGAAGCTTGACTGTCAATTTACATAATTCAGTTTCCAGCATATCTAGTCCGTTCTCCCAATCCAATATCCTTTTTTATTATTATTTTTAGATTTTGCTGAGGCAAATCTTTTGATTGCCTCGAGGTTTGCCTATAAGCTTTATACAGTGGACATTTTAAAACATAAGTTAAACCATCTGATCTTTGACAAATCTGACAAAAACAAGAAATGGGGAAAGGATTCCCTATTTAATAAATGGTGCTGGGAAAACTGGCTAGCCATATGTAGAAAGCTGAAACTGGATCCTTTCCTTACACCTTATACAAAAATTAATTCACAATGGATTAAAGACTTAAATATTAGACCTAAAACCATAAAAACCCTAGAAGAAAACCTAGGCAATACCATTCAGGACATAGGCATGGGCAAGGACTTCATGTCTAAAACACCAAAAGCAATGGCAACAAAAGACAAAATTGACAAATGGGATCTAATTAAACTACAGAGCTTCTGCACAGCAAAAGAAATTACCATCAGAGTGAACAGGCAACCTACAGAATGGGAGAAAATTTTTGACAACCTACTCATCTGACAAAGGGCTAATATCCAGAATCTACAATGAACTCAAACTAATTTACAAGAAAAAAACAAACAACCCCATCAACAAGTGGGCGAAGGATATGAACAGATACTTCTCAAAAGAAGACATTTATGCAGCCAACAGACACATGAAAAAATGCTCATCACCACTGGCCATCAGAGAAATGCAAATCAAAACCACAATGAGATACCATCTCACACTAGTTAGAATGGCGATCACTAAAAAGTCAGGAAACAACAGGTGCTGGAGAGGATGTGGAGAAATAGGAACACTTTTACACTGTTGGTGGGACTGTACACTAGTTCAACCATTGTGGAAGTCAGTGTGGCGATTCCTCAAGGATCTAGAAGTAGAAATACCATTTAACCCAGTCATCCCATTACTGGGTGTATACCCAAAGGATTATAAATCATGCTGCTATAAAGACACATGCACATGTATGTTTACAGCAGCACTATTCACAATAGTGAAGACTTGGAACCAACCCAAATGTCCATGAATGACAGACTGGATTAAGAAAATGTGGCACATATACACCATGGAATACTATGCAGCCATGAAAGATGAGTTCATGTCCTTTGCAGGGACATGGATGAAGCTTGAAACCATCATTCTCAGCAAACTATTGCAAGGACAAAAACCCAAACACCGCATATTCTCACTCATAGGTGGGAATTGAACAATGAGAACACTTAGACACAGGGCGGGGAACATCACACACCAGGCCCTGTTGTGGGGTGGGGTGAGGATGGAGGGATAGCATTAGGAGATATACCTAATGTAAATGACGAGTTAATGGGTGCAGCACACCAACACAGCACGTGTATATATGTAACAAACCTGCACGTTGGGCACATGTACCCTAGAACTTAAAGTATAATTAAAAAAACCAATAAATAAAAACATTTTATCCATTAAATGGAATGCTCCATAGCAGCCAAAATGAGTAGATAAAATAAATTACGTATGTAAAATGTTTTTAAAAAAATAAAAATAAAAATAAAACATAGGTTAACATTGATAAAATATAATTTCTGTGAATTAAATGCAATATTTTTATGTGTTAAAAATTGAGGTTGTTTCATTAATAAAGTTATTCCAAGATATTTAAGGTAATCTTTCCTGTTTTTATTAATAATTGAAATACAGTTAACTAGATGTTTCCATTACCTTGAAAAATATTATCTCGGGAGGAGCCAAGATGGCCGAATAAGAACAGCTCCGGTCTACAGCTCCCAGCGTGAGGGACGCAGAAGACCGGTGATTTCTGCATTTCCATCTGAGGTACCGGGTTCATCTCACTAGGCAGTGCCAGACAGTGAGCGCAGGTCAGTGGGTGTGCGCACCGTGCGCGAGCCAAAGCAGGGCGAGGCATTGCCTCACTTGGGAAGCGCAAGGGGTCAGGGAGTTCCCTTTCTGAGTCAAAGAAAGGGGTGACCGACGGCACCTGGAAAATCGGGTCACTCCCACCCGAATACTGCGCTTTTCCGATGGGCTTAAAAAATGGCGCCCCACCAGATTATATCCTGCACCTGGCTCCGAGGGTCCTAGGCCCACAGAGTCTCGCTGATTGCTAGTACAGCAGTCTGAGATCAAACTGCAAGGCGGCAGCGAGGCTGGGGAGGGGCGCCCGCCATTGCCCAGGCTTGCTTAGGTAAACAAAGCAGCCCGGAAGCTCAAACTGGGTGGAGCCCACCACAGCTCAAGGAGGCCTGCCTGCCTCTGCAGGCTCCACCTCTGGGGGCAGGGCACAGACAAACAAAAAGACAGCAGTAACCTCTGCAGACTTAAGTGTCCCTGTCTGACAGCTTTGAAGAGAGCAGTGGTTCTCCCAGCACGCAGCTGGAGATCTGAGAACGGGCAGACTGCCTCTTCAAGTGGGTCCCTGACCCCTGACCCCCAAGCAGCCTAACTGGGAGGTACCCCCCAGCAGGGGCACACTGACACCTCACACGGCAGGGTACTCCAACAGACCTGCAGCTGAGGGTCCTCTCTGTTAGAAGGAAAACTAACAAACAGAAAGGACATCCACACCAAAAACCCATCTGTACATCACCATCATCAAAGACCAAAAGTAGATAAAACCACAAAGATGGGGAAAAAACAGAACAGAAAAACTGGAAACTCTAAAAAGCAGAGCGCCTCTCCTCCTCCAAAGGAACGCAGTTCCTCACCAGCAACGGAACAAAGCTGGATGGAGAATGACTTTGACGAGCTGAGAGAAGAAGGCTTCAGACGATCAAATTACTCTGAGCTATGGGAGGACATTCAAACCAAAGGCAAAGAAGTTGAAAACTTTGAAAAAAATTTAGAAGAATGTATAACTAGAATAACCAATACAGAGAAGTGCTTAAAGGAGCTGATGGAGCTGAAAACCAAGGCTCGAGAACTACGTGAAGAATGCAGAAGCCTCAGGAGCCGATGCGATCAACTGGAAGAAAGGGTATCAGCAATGGAAGATGACATGAATGAAATGAAGCGAGAAGGGAAGTTTAGAGAAAAAAGAATAAAAACAAATGAGCAAAGCCTCCAAGAAATATGGGACTATGTGAAAAGACCAAATCTACGTCTGATTGGTGTACCTGAAAGTGATGGGGAGAATGGAACCAAGTTGGAAAACACTCTGCAGGATATTATCCAGGAGAACTTCCCCAATCTAGCAAGGCAGGCCAACGTTCAGATTCAGGAAATACAGAGAACGCCACAAAGATACTCCTCAAGAAGAGCAACTCCAAGACACATAATTGTCAGATTCACCAAAGTTGAAATGAAGGAAAAAATGTTAAGGGCAGCCAGAGAGAAAGGTCGGGTTACCCTCAAAGGGAAGCCCATCAGACTAACAGCGGATCTCTCGGCAGAAACCCTACAAGCCAGAAGAGAGTGGGGGCCAATATTCAACATTCTTAAAGAAAAGAATTTTCAACCCAGAATTTCATATCCAGCCAAACTAAGCTTCATAAGTGAAGGAGAAATAAAATACTTTGCAGACAAGCAAATGCTGAGAGATTTTGTCACCACCAGGCCTGCCTTACAAGAGCTCCTGAAGGAAGCACTAAACATGGAAAGGAACAACCGGTACCAGCCGCTGCAAAATCATGCCAAAATGTAAAGACCATCGAGACTAGGAAGAAACTGGATCAACTAACGAGCAAAATCACCAGCTAACATCATAATGACAGGATCAAATTCACACATAACAATATTAACTTTAAATGTAAATGGACTAAAAGCTCCAATTAAAAGACACAGACTGGCAAATTGGATAAAGAGTCAAGACCCATCAGTGTGCTGTATTCAGGAAATCCATCTCATGTGCAGAGACACACACAGGCTCAAAATAAAAGGATGGAGGAAGATCTACCGAGCCAATGGAAAACAAAAAAAGGCAGGGGTTGCAATCCTAGTCTCTGATAAAACAGACTTTAAACCAACAAAGATCAAAAGAGACAAAGAAGGCCATTACATAATGGTAAAGGGATCAATTCAACAAGAAGAGCTAACTATCCTAAATATATATGCACCCAATACAGGAGCACCAAGATTCATAAAGCAAGTCCTGAGTGACCTACAAAGAGACTTAGACTCCCACACATTAATAATGGGAGACTTTAACACCCCACTGTCAACATTAGACAGACCAACGAGACAGAAAGTCAACAAGGATACCCAGGAATTGAACTCAGCTCTGCACCAAGCAGACCTAATAGACATCTACAGAACTCTCCACCCAAAATCAAAAGAATATACATTTTTTTCAGCACCACACCACACCTATTCCAAAATTGACCACATACTGGGAAGTAAAGCTATCCTCAGCAAATGTAAAAGAACACAAATTATAACAAACTATCTCTCAGACCACAGTGCAATCAAACTAGAACTCAGGATTAAGAAACTCACTCAAAACCGCTCAACTACATGGAAACTGAACAACCTGCTCCTGAATGACTACTGGGTACATAACGAAATGAAGGCAGAAATAAAGATGTTCTTTGAAACCAACGAGAACAAAGACACAACATACCAGAATCTCTGGGACGCATTCAAAGCAGTGTGTAGAGGGAAATTTGTAGCACTAAATGCCCACAAGAGAAAGCAGGAAAGATCCAAAATTGACACCCTAACATCACAATTAAAAGAACTAGAAAAGCAAGAGCAAACACATTCAAAAGCTAGCAGAAGGCAAGAAATAACTAAAATCAGAGCAGAACTGAAGGAAATAGAGACACAAAAAACCCTTCAAAAAATTCATGAATCCAGGAGCTGGTTTTTTGAAAGGATCAACAAAATTGATAGACCGCTAGCAAGACTAATAAAGAAAAAAAGAGAGATGAATCAAATAGACGCAATAAAAAATGATAAAGGGGATGTCACCACCGATCCCACAGAAATACAAACTACCATCAGAGAATACTACAAACACCTCTACGCAAATAAACTAGAAAATCTAGAAGAAATGGATAAATTCCTGGACACATACACTCTCCCAAGACTAAACTAGGAAAAAGTTGAATCTCTGAATAGACCAATAACAGGAGCTGAAATTGTGGCAATAATCAATAGCTTACCAACCAAAAAGAGTCCAGGACCAGATGGATTCACAGCCGAATTCTACCAGAGGTACAAGGAGGAACTGGTACCATTCCTTCTGAAACTATTCCAATCACTAGAAAAAGAGGGAATCCTCCCTAACTCATTTTATGAGGCCAGCATCATTCTGATACCAAAGCCAGGCAGAGACACAACAAAAAAAGAGAATTTTAGACCAATATCCTTGATGAACATTGATGCAAAAATCCTCAATAAAATACTGGCAAACCGAATCCAGCAGCACATCAAAAAGTTTATCCACCATGATCAAGTGGGCTTCATCCCTGGGATGCAAGGCTGGTTCAATATACGCAAATCAATACATGTAATCCAGCATATAAACAGAGCCAAAGACAAAAACCACATGATTATCTCAATAGATGCAGAAAAAGCCTTTGACAAAATTCAACAACCCTTCATGCTAAAAACTCTCAATAAATTAGGTATTGATGGGACGTATTTCAAAATAATAAGAGCTATCTATGACAAATCCACAGCCAATATCATACTGAATGAGAAAAAACTGGAAGCATTCCCTTTGAAAACGGGCACAAGACAGGGATGCCCTCTCTCACCACTCCTATTCAACATAGTGTTGGAAGTTCTGGCCAGGGCAATTAGGCAGGAGAAGGAAATAAAGGGTATTCAATTAGGAAAAGAGGAAGTCAAATTGTCCCTGTTTGCAGATGACATGATTGTATATCTAGAAAACCCCATTGTCTCAGCCCACAATCTCCTTAAGCTGATAAGCAACTTCAGCAAAGTCTCAGGATACAAAATCAATGTACAAAAATCACAAGCATTCTTATACACCACCAACAGACAAACAGAGAGCCAAATCATGAGTGAACTCCCATTCACAATTGCTTCAAAGAGAATAAAATACCTAGGAATCCAATTTACAAGGGATGTGAAGGACCTCTTCAAGGAGAACTACAAACCACTGCTCAAGGAAATAAAAGAGGATACAAACAAATGGAAGAACATTCCATGCTCATGGGTAGGAAGAATCAATATCGTGAAAATGGCCATACTGCCCAAGGTAATTTACAGATTCAATGCCATCCCCATCAAGCTACCAATGACTTTCTTCACAGAATTGGAAAAAACTACTTTAAAGTTCATATGGAACCAAAAAAGAGCCCGCATCGCCAAGTCAATCCTAAGCCAAAAGAACAAAGCTGGAGGCATCACACTACCTCACTTCAAACTATACTGCAAGGCTACAGTAACCAAAACAGCATGGTACTGTTACCAAAACAGAGATATAGACCAATGGAACAGAACAGAGCCCTCAGAAATAACGCCGCATATCTACAACTATCTGATCTTTGACAAACCTGAGAAAAACAAGCAATGGGGAAAGGATTCCCTATTTAATAAATGGTGCTGGGAAAACTGGCTAGCCATATGTAGAAAGCTGAAACTGGATCCCTTCCTTACACCTTATACAAAAATCAATTCAAGATGGATTAAAGACTTAAACGTTAGACCTCAAACCATAAAAACCCTAGAAGAAAACCTAGGCATTACCATTCAGGACATAGGCATGGGCAAGGACTTCATGTCTAAAACACCAAAAGCAATGGCAACAAAAGACAAAATTGACAAATGGGATCTAATTAAACTAAAGAGCTTCTGCACAGCAAAAGAAACTACCATCAGAGTGAACAGGCAACCTACAAAATGGGAGAAAATTTTCGCAACCTACTCATCTGACAAAGGGCTAATATCCAGAATCTACAATGAACTCAAACTAATTTACAAGAAAAAAACAAACAACCCCATCAAAAAGTGGGCAAAGGACATGAACAGACACTTCTCAAAAGAAGACATTTATGCAGCCAAAAAACACATGAAAAAATGCTCATCATCACTGGCCATCAGAGAAATGCAAATCAAAACCACAATGAGATACCATCTCACACCCGTTAGAATGGCTATCATTAAAAAGTCAGGAAACAACAGGTGCTGGAGAGGATGTGGGGAAGTAGGAACACTTTTACACTGTTGGTGGGACTGTAAACTAGTTCAACCATTGTGGAAGTCAGTGTGGCGATTCCTCAGTGATCTAGAACTGGAAATGCCATTTGACCCAGCCATCCCATTACTGGGTATATACCCAAAGGACTATGAATCATGCTGCTATAAAGACACATGCACACGTATGTTTATTGCAGCATTATTCACAATAGCAAAGACTTGGAACCAACCCAAATGTCCATCAGTGATAGACTGGATTAAGAAAAATGTGGCACATATACACCATGGAATACTATGCAGCCATAAAAAATGATGAGTTCATGTCCTTTGTAGGGACATGGATGAAATTGGAAATCATCATTCTCAGTAAACTATGGCAAGAACAAAAAACCAAACACCACATATTCTCACTCATAGGTGGGAATTGAACAGTGAGATCACATGGACACAGGAAGGGGAATATCACACTCTGGGGACTGTTGTGGGGTGGGGGGATGGGGGAGGAATAGCATTGGGAGATATACCTAATGCTAGATGACGAGATAGTGGGTGCAGCGCACCAGCATGGCACATGTATACATATGTAACTAACCTGCACAATGTGCACATGTACCCTAAAACTTAAAGTATAATAAAAAAAAGAAAAAAAGAAAAACATTATCTCATTAGAATATGATTTTGGATTTTGTGGGCAAAGAAAAGAAGAATTTCTCTTTAATTTGATTAGCGTGACGATAATAGTGTTTTTTATTTAACATACATATATGGCACTGCATGCTAGACACTCTTCCATGAACTTTATATACATATCAGTTTATTTAATCCTCATAATAATTTTATGAGATGGGTAATAATATTATCACTATTTTTTTAGATGAGGAAACTGAAGCACAGAGAGGTAGGTTTAACAATGTGCCCAAAGTCACACAGCTAGTAAGGGGCAGAGTCAAGACTCAATCCAGGTCTGCTAGCTCCACAACCCTATACTCTTAATTACAGTGTTATATAAATATATATGACAATACAGAAAGGTTGTCAGGCATCAGGTAAAACCAAATGAAATTCAATGAGAGAATAAACATCCCTCAACCTGTAAGTTTCTGTTCACTTTTTAATAATAGATAACTGAAAAGGCTGAGGATGTTTGGTTGGCTTACACCTTTGTTGCAGGCTCTCCTCTCCTCCTCTCCTCTTCTCCCAAGCCCTCTTCTGCTAGTTGCCTCTCTCTCAGACCACAGAAAGAGTGATTAGAGTGACCAAGTGGCCTGTGATCAGATTTCCTGTCCATGGGCTCTGGGAATTGGAGGGAACCTCCTCCCCGCTCCCCACCCCCACCCCTCCACACAGGCAGAATACCCGGAGGTCTTTTCTCTGGAGACTGTTGTTAATCTGGTCTCCTGGCCCTGAGGGATGAGAATCTGGGCCAAGATATGTAGCAACAAAATAGCAGAAGTCAGCAATGCAAATAACACAAATGTATTTTAAAAACTGTGCCTTTACAAAACTGTTTCACATATGTATTGTCTCATTAGGGCATTTCCTATGGGAACTATTGGAAACAGAAACTGGTTCAAAGTAATATTTGGTACTTCTGAGTTTCTGTGTTTACCTCTGGCTTCATTATTATTATATATTGCCTTTCCTCTAATGGTTTTAAATTTGTATTTGAACTTTTTCTGTTTACTTAGGAAGAGATTGATACTTTCTTAAAACATATTTAATTTCTACCAGAATTTTTTAAAGGACAAAATGATTACCATCTTGTCACAAATATTGATAGCTTTGCCCTCAATTTAGATGGAATATCACAGGCTTGGCGGCATTTAATCATACACACTCTCGGACACAGAGACATATATATGTATATGCCACACACACACACACACACACACACACACACACATATGGACTGAATGCTTGTGTTACCCCCAAAAACTCATATGTTAAAGCTTTAACCCCCAATGTGATGTTATTTGAACATGGGCTTTGGGAGGTAATTAGGTTTGGATGGGGTCATGAGTGTGACATCATGGGATTAGTTCCTTTATAAGAAGAGACACTAGAGAGCTTGAGCTCACTTTCTCTCTTCTCAAAAGAATGCACACAAAGAAGAGGCCAGGCCACGTGAGCACACAGTGAGATGGCAGCCAGGAACAGGCCAGGAAGAGAGCTTTCACCAGAACTCAACCTTGCTGGCATCTTGATCGTGGACTTGAAGCTTGCGAACTATGAGAAAATAAAGTCTGTTGTTTAAGCCACCTAGTCTATGGCATTTTGTTATGGCAGCCTGAGCTGACCAAAACAGATTAATATACATAGACATATAATATAATACATAATATAAAGAGACACACACAACACACCAGATAGTGAAAAAGAAACATTGTATTGAATAAATAATTAAATAAATACCTAAGAGGCCAGAAGCCTGGGAATGATGATCCAACACCTGAAGGCATTTTAGCAACAGAAATTTTTTAAAAAAACAAAAAAACAAGAATTTTCCCAAGTTTTGGGTCAGGCTCTGATATAAAGCAGACAGTCAACCTCAGATTTAAGCTCGACAGAGGTGGTAGAAAAGGAAACTGCCCAAAGAGCCATTGATAGTGGCCACAAGAGGATGGCACAGGTGGTGGAGAGGAGGGTAAGGCCCTTTGCTGAAAGCCCCCACTCTGAATTTGTGTAAGGTAACAAGAAACAGAGGAACGGTTTTTGTTGCGGTTGGAGGAGACCGGCCCCTGTGTGCTTACTGTTCAGGAGGAAGAAGATCCAAGTCTGCTTCTGACAACTTGGTTTTTCGTGCTCCTAACTGTGGCTTCTCTGCCACTGGAGCGCTTGATTGTTGCGGGAGAGCAGAACCAAAGGCCCTGTGGCCAGGTGCAGTGGCTCACACCTGTAATCCCATCACTTTGGGAGGCCGAGGCAGGCGGATCACGAGGCCAGGAGTTCGAGACCAGCCAAGCCAACATGGGGAAACCCCATCTCTACTAAAAATACAAAAATTAGCTGGGCATGGTGGCGCATGGCTATAATTCCAGCTACTAGGGAAGCTGAGGCAGGAAAATCGCTTGAACCAGGAGGCGGAGGTTGCAGTGAGCCAAAATTGCACCACTGCACTCCAGCCTGGGTGACAGAGAGAGACCCTGTCTCAAAATATAAAATAAAATATTTAAGAAAAAAAAAAAGACCAAGAGCCCTGAGCTCTTAGCAAGCTTGGCTTCAGTCTATGGAGTTTCCTGGTGAGTTAAATGGCTCACTTGGGAGGTACTGGTACCTTCTGGAATAATTACCAGTGTCAGAAAAGACAGAGAACAGGTCTCCATGAATAGCACCAAAAGAAATATTTCTACAGAGCCATGGAAAATAATGACAGAAAAATTTGCAGAGAACAAAATAGGGCTTTCATTCAAAGAATTTTAATTTTGCTGTTATAATACTTAAGTGGTGAAATTTTTAAGTAAGTGCTGTCAGCTCTTCCAAAACCTTTAATAAAATTAGTCAGCAAGAAAAGCGATGGTCCAAGCAAGGAAAGGTTGGAAAGGAATTAAGGAATTTCATGATGTACTAACTTATGTAACTTTAACAGGGGCAGATACAGTCTCAATTTTTAAATATATGAAGGATTTTTCTTACACTATCTTTTAGAGGTTTTTTTAAAAAAAATTATCTTAAAGTTTGATAACAAAAATATCAATTCTGTTTTTATCCTAGAACTTAAATTTCTAAGACAAATGTAACCTACTGAATCTTTCAAAGATGAGGAAACTCACAGAATTGCTGATCTTTAAGATTGCTACTTCAGACTGATTGGTTTGGCTGAGAAGTCAGCCAGCCTGAAGAAGATTTCAGATTTTCTGGGGAATAAGTCATTGTCATTGAGTGAGTCAAACCCAGGATAAAATGAAAATTCACACCAATATTTTCCTAATTTTTTGGTTCTTACATGTGATAAGTTCTCAGCCTTCATCATATTAGACATTTTTTCCTGACAAAATAGAACAAGATTTCTACCTACTCAGTGGATGACTTGTGAAATTCCCATGTTTATTGGTATTTCTTATTGAGTCAAAATAATTAGTGCAAAAGACATTTGGCATTTCTGAACTTTAAAAATTGGAGGTTGGTTTATACCATGATTTTGGAGCTATTTAATCTGGGAAAGGCCTGGGACCCTTCCTCTGGAATGGACTTTTTAATCAAGTAGGATAGAAGGTAATGAATCAGTGCCAAACTGGAAGAAGTTTTCAGTAACAGTTATCCAGTGCTTCCTATGAGGCAGACATTCTTCTAAATGTTTTGCAGTACAGGCCCATAGTCCCTTACTGGTAATTCTAAAATCCAAAAACCTTTGAAACCAATTATTTTTGTAACTTGGTTGGCAGCAAAACTTGGCCAAACTCATTTGGATGCAAAATCTGTTCTGATGTTTAGCTGTAGAAAGTATTAATGTTTGGTTACTGATTGGTGCCCTAGATTCCATTGGGGTATTACATAAGGTATGGTATATTACATAAATATAAATTAATTGTATATAATATATGGTAATTTTTATGGTAAATATGAGGTACTTGTGCCATATTGCCTTTCTAAAATCCAAAAAGTTCCAAATTCCAAAACTCATCTGATGCAAAATATTTCAAATACAGAAAGTATTTCCCATAAGTCTCACAATTCTCTACAGTACACTTTTAGTGTTCTGAACTTACAAAGGGAAAACTAAGATAAAAGAGTATAAACACATAAACACATTGCTCAAGGTGATACATCTAGTAAGTGATGGATCTAGGATTTGAAGACAGGAAAATCTGGCTCCAGAGCTCATGCTGTTAATCACTGCTCCATTATACTGCTCTGAGTGACCTGCTAATGGGGTATCTTTTCAATAAATCTTCTTTTTGTTATTTATAAATGAGAAGGAGAGAATATATAGAGTTATGATTAACAGCCTCCAATGTTATGGTCCAGTTAGGAAAATGGTGTTCCCTTCAGGTAATTCACCCAAGGAAATTCAATATGGGAGCCATTTACAAAGGGATAAGAAAAACTTAAAGGCCCAACAGGTGACTTTGAGGCAACCCAGAGAATTAGCCAGACTCAGAAAGCTACCACTACCTCTAGGACTAAAATAGCAAAGACAGGAGGTGGTATTACTGAGACCAAGAGCCAAGGAGTTGTTGACAGCATGGACTGAGATGCTGTCCTACAAAGGCAGCAGACACTGCCTTGGAGACTGATGATCAAATCAAGAAAGATGGGGAGAAACATCCTGGTTTCTCCCATTCTCTTGACTTCCAATCCCCCTTAGGTACCACTGTTATCTGAACCTAGCTAGAAGCCAATTAGCAGTGGAACCTGGAAAACATAGTTATCAGGGATAAATCCTCTATGCTACAAAACAGAGTAGAGCAAAAGAGAAAAAAAACTGGATCTAAGGGCAAGTGATCAAATGACTACTATACGAATTTGAGAGTAAAAAATGTTGGATAATAGATTAAAGATAAATCTGAAAAGATTTGATAGGTGGTTGCAAAGGAAAACCCTAACAAAATGAGTTTTCCACATTTAGTTATTAAAGAAATATTTATTAAAGACCTTTATATGACAAACATGATCAGTGAAGAAGGTAAGTTCCTAAAGGGCGGGGAGCATGTTTTGTTTATCTACAAAAATTAAATTTTTCTTTTTAACAAAAATTAAATTCAAGCAATGTAAATGAAGGGTCTTGAACCTTGGTACAAAGAGCCAACAGTACATAAAATGGGAGAAAGGCTTTCTTAGAAGCATGTACAGAAAGGACTTTAAGGTTTTAGTCAACAACAAGTTCTATGAGTCAACAAGATGAGGTGACTATAAGAAAAAGCCAATTGAATCTTGGGCAGCATAGTTGAAGCAAAATATTAAACATAGTAGATGATATTCCGATCCTAAAGGTCACTGGTTGCATTAATTTGGAACAATTTTTGAACTTCCAGCCATCACTTATGTACAGAAGAGAGATGAAGTGGTGAAGACACTCAAAACCATGTCCAAAGAGCAGCAATTGAAAAACTAGGGAATATTTAACCTGGAGAATAAAAGGGTTAGAAGATATAAAAGTACACACTTCAAATAATTAGAAGACATATACTGGAGTATCACCTACTGCCCACCCACCCTCTCCACTTGGAAGAGATAGTGCCTCTACCACAGTCCTGCCCCCTAGAGACCCATGCAACCGCTATGCTTTACACAGCCTGTATAACTCAGCAGCACTCCAGTTGCACGTGGCTAAACCAGTAGTTGACAGGCAGTGAGTAAGCCAGCACCTATGCCAGCATCTGGAGTAAAAAGGTCAGCTAGGCCGGGCATGGTGGCTCACGGCTGTAATCCCAGCACTTTGGGAGGCCCAGGTGGATGGAGTGCCTGAGGTCAGGAGTTCAAGACCAGCCCAACCAACAGGATGAAACCCCATCTCAACTAAAAATACAAAAAAAAAAAAAAAAAAAAAAAAAGCCTGGCACGGTGGCTCACGCCTGTAATCCCAGCACTTTGGGAGGCTGAGGCCGGCGGATCACGAGGTCAGGAGATCAAGACCATCCTGACTAACACGGTGAAACCCTGTCTCTACTAAAAAAAAAAAAATGCAAAAAATTAGCCAGGTGTGGTGGTGGGCGCCTATAGTCCCAGCTACTCAGGAGGCTGAGGCAGGAGAATGGCGTGAACCCAGGAGGTGGAGCTTGCAGTGAGCCGAGATCGTGCCATTGCACTCCAGCCTGGGCAACAAGAATGAAACTCCGTCTCGGGGAGAAAAAAAAAAAGGGGTCAACTGGACCTGACTCTCACTAAAAGGGAATTTGGTTTAGAAAACACAGAAAGACTAAACCAGTTAGTAATTGAGGCAAACACTAAAGAGAAGCCAACAGATAAGAATTAGCCCACAGCAAACAGAGGCCACATGTACACTAAAATGATGAGGGAGCAAAACTCTTTATAAGCAGAGAACATTCTGGAGCAGAGAAAAGAAAACAGAGCAAACTTCAGAAGGCAGCCAAGGTGCTCAGAAGGAGTGAGGGACAAGAACAAGGGAGAAAGAGAGAGCCCGGAAAAGGGGAGAGACAGAATGAGGTCCTAGGAAGCTGGCTGTGTTCCTGCTAACCTCTCTCTTTTGATTCCATTCCATGTGGATCCTAATAATAAACACTCTTTTTCTTAAGGTAACATTTGTGAGTTTCTGCTCTTGCAAAACAAAAATAACTAAAACAAACTGTTCTAAGAAAAAAAATGAATTAAACCAGTTTTGTATAGTCTTGAGGGCTAAACACCAATTGGTGGAAGCTTCAGAGAGACTGGTTTCTTTCTAATAGTCCATTAAATGTGTAATGGGCTGCCTGAAGAAATAGAGCTTTGTTTGCCACAGAGATGGTCCAAGCACAAGCCACCAGTCACATGGCAGGGATTCAAGCCCAGGATATGGTGCCATGACTGAACAATTTTCAAGGCCTTTCCAGCCTGGAGACTACATCATCTGATTCCAGGTGCAAAATTCTACATCTTTAGGTAATACAGATGGCTTTCATAATAAGAAATGTACAGGTCGTCTAAAATAGTTTTTTCTTTGTTAATTAGAATACTTTTCTGTCCAGTGCTTTGCCATCTTGACCTTCTTTTCATTCAAATAGGAAATAACAAGCCCAGCTACAGTTTTAAGTTCAGTAAATAATGTTTTAAGTGTTTCTGGTTTTGGGAAAAGACACTGGTCATTTTGGCATTGATTTTTTTCCATTAATTTTTAAATTTACATGTATTTTTCAGTAAATTTAGTTCATATGATTTTGATTTGTTTACACTTAGCTCCCTAAAATGTGTGGTTTAGCAATTTGATGACTATGCACCTTCTCATTACTCTGTCTCAGAACCAGAAAGTCATGTGTTGCCAGCAGGACCAAAGTGAAATCCAGCTGACATAAATTTGGATACAAATCGAAGAAGCCATAAAATTCAAGACCATTGTAAACTTGGTGATAAAAGTTCTCTTGTTTTCAAAAAGTTACAGACAAAACAAGTTCCAAGTGTAAAGTATTTTATAATGTTTTATGCAAACATGTGTTGAACAGACAAATGGCAGTGGGACAGCTGCCTCTCTTGTTACTCTGCTACCACAATTACCAGAACTTGTGATTATAGAAGGTTGCTGCTTCACATGAGGTTGTGTCTGCATCCTCAGAGAATCTGGTTACCCAGTCAAGAAAGCCAGTAAACCTGATCATTTAGCAGAGTGTAAACCAAAGCACTTACAGTAGACAAAATGCTTCTCATTCACAGAATTAGTTAATGTTGATCGTGGTAGAAACTTGAAATCATCTCGGCCAATCCTTCACTCTACCAATGTGTTTTAAATGGCTGTTTTGACATCCCATGTATATAACCTTTAAAATTCTGATGACTTGGTCCAGGCATGACTTTAATTATAAACTCAAGGCACATATGGAGCGGAGAGAACATTTTCCAGGGAAACCTAAAGAATTGTGTTCTATGGGTATTTTTTTTAACTTATTTCTGAGCCTACAATGTAGAAATGGATTTCCCCCTTTAAATGTGTTTGAAAGAGTGACAGCACTACCAGTGTATATAAGATGTATATTTTGTATACAATTTATGTTGATACAAATTTTTAACTTTCATATATATATATATGCTAATTTTCTGAGCCAACATTGTATAAATCATATATTCAAAAAAATACCAAAAGTATATGACTTATGTAATTAAATCTCTACATATTAAACTTACATAAGGGTATAATCTTTCCAATTTAGAGATATTTGCCTATGCCAGGGTCCATGTATTCAGCAATGGTTGAGAAAAAAAAATAAATCTTTAACCCAAAGTTGTTTTTCCGTTTTTTTTGTTTGTTTGTTTTTTTGTTTCTTTGTTTTTTTTGTTTTTGAGACAGAGTCTCACTCTGTCATCCAGGCTGGAGTGCAATAGCATGATCTCAGCTCACTATAACCTTCGCCTCCTGGGTTCAAGTGATTCTACTGACTCAGGCTCCTGAGTAGCTGGGATATTACAGGTGTGCACCATCACATCCAGCTAATTTTTGTAATTTTAGTAGAGACAGGGTTTCACCATGTTGGCCAGGCTGGTCTTGAACTTCTGACCTCAGGTGATCCACCCACCTCAGCCTCCCAAAGTGCTGGTATTACAGGAATGAACCACCACGCCAGGCCAGTTTTTTTCTTAATGAGTTCAGTGGTTAAAGGTTTGGGCCACCGCCCTTATGTCTAGTTGGGCACCTTGGCCTAATTAGGAACCCAGGCCTAAGGCTCCACCTACTGATCTTCCTTTCTCCCAGAAGCCCCTGGATATCCTATCATATTTACAAGCTTTAGTCTTCAGTCATTGAGTTTCTACTAACTACTGAGATTTCGGAAGATGGCTCATCAGGCTGGGACAGCCATTATCCAGACCACTCACTGCCTAAGATATCTCTTTCATTATTTATGTCACCCATCATTCCTCTGAGACATCTTGTTTGTCTTCACCACATGACAGAGAAGAAGCACAAATCTCAAGATTTATTGGTTCTTTAGACCTTGTCTTTCCGCTCTGTAATTTAAAAATGTATTTCCTATTTAAAATCTCCTTCTTCCAGAAATTTCTCATTCTACCAAAACCAGTGGTGCTTTCCCTTCATCTACTCAAACCATACCCCATAGTTCAGGACCCTACTCAAGTTTCACCTGTTGCAGAAAATCCCTGATGCTCCAGCCCTGTGTGATCTATGCCAACTTTGAAACTCTCATGTATATATTCTGTACCACCTTGTTTTAGGCCCACATTTTATACAAGCTTAGATTTAGTCAAATTGTTTTATATATTGTTCTTATCTTCCTAACTAGAGTAGGGACTCCTTAGAGGAAAGAATTAGCCTTTATACTATCTTCCCATTCCCACAGAGACCAGTAAACTTCAGGACCTGAAGAAGATGTCAAATACACACCAGTTACTAAATAGATAAATATTATATTTCATTTCTACTTTATAAATTATAATACAGTAATATTTCTGCCACTAGCTACAACAGATTCATTTTCTCTGAAATTACCATATTAATTTATAAAAACATTGGTCATCTATTTAAAAAGTTGTTTATAATATTTATAAAAAAGTTATGAACTTTGCAATAAAAAATCATCCCTTCTAGGAATAAATTATTTCAGCTAACAAGCATTTAAGTTTAATCCCTACCTTCCAGAAGCTTGCATTCTCATGAGAGAAAGAGGCATGTCAATAAATTAAGATGTAATGTAAAAAGTGCTTCCAAAGAGACAAAGTCTACCACATCAAAGGCCAGAAAGGAAGGAACAACTCCCAGAGGTTCTCTAATCAAACTCTACAATCAAATGATTATTATCCCACACAACTTTGAGGATACAAAGTCTAAGCCAATTTTTAAAACTTGCCTTTATTGTATAAAACTAGAGTGCTTTAAAACAATAAGATTTATAATTTGTATTGAGGTTCACAGCAAAATAGGCAGTAAAATAAGAAATAATTAAAAATTAAAAATCATAACAAAAATCATATTTGGAGAATGTAGATTTGGCAAAAATATGAGGTGTGAAGTCATATTAATGAAAGTATCATTAGCTTTTTATTCAAAATAAAAACCGCACTCATCTGAAGCATCTGTATGTTTCAACCATGTTATTTACTGTGGTTTTGTTTTTTCATGCAGTGCAATTCCTTGTACACATGCCTGGGGACTGGCATAGGTTCAGTTGGCTTTTATTTGGGCCTATCTTTTGTTAAAAATTAGTGTAAGATGAAAACACTGTCTTCATTTATTTTGCAATACTGATATTACGTGACAATTTCAAGATCTCACTGTAGATCAGTGTACACATCAAATGTGTGTCTTAAACCTCTTTGAATTTATTGTGAATGTTCATTTTTACATCTTCTTTTTACATTTCATGATTTTATTATCTCTATTACGTATGTATGAAATATGATAATTAAATTTCGTTTTCTTCCAGAAGCAAATGGAGTAGAGTTTTGATATAACTTGCTTTGAAATAAGTTCATCTGATAAGTAGTGGCTTGTAGCAAGGGAAAGCAGTAAGGCTTACAGATCTTGAAAAGAAATTTAGAATAGTAACTTAAATAAAGAGTAGTCTATGGTGGAAGGAGAAACAAGTATGAAATCTAAAGAAGAAAAAAATATGCATCATCTGTTGCTTTTTCTAAATTATGGTTGACAGTTGAAGCAAAAATTATAACACTTTCTGATGCGGTTCTAAATGTATATAGAAGAAATACTTAAGACAATTATATAATAAAAGGAGGAGGAAGGGATTTAAAGAAAGATGAGATTTCTATACTTCATTTAACTGGTAAAATTGTGAAACTAATAGACTATAATAAATTATGTGCATATAATATAATAACAAAAGCAATCATTAAAAAAATTTATACATTCAAAAACACTACAGATAAATCAAAATGGAATTATAAAAAACACTCAAGTAATCCACAGGACAACAAGAAAAAGAAAAAAGTAAAATGAAACCTGAGAGACCAAACAAAACAAAAACTAAAATAGCAGACTTAAGCCCAAATATATCAATAATTACATTAAGTATAAATTTTCTAAATATACCTGTGAAAAGACAGAGATTGGAAGAGTTGATTGAAAAACATAAGCAAACTATATGTTGTCTAAAAGCAACTCACTGTAAATATAATGATACAAGTAAGTTAAAAGTAAAAGATCAAAAAAGATAGATATGCCAACATTAACCAAAGGAAAGCAGGAGTAGCTACTTAATATCAGACAAAGTCAACTTCAGAGCAAAGAAAATGACCAGAGACTATGAGGAATATTATCTAATGATAAAAAAGGTAAATCCACATAAAATATATAGCAATCCTAAATGTGTATGTACCAAATAACAGAGCTACAAAATATGTGGAGCAAAAACTGGTAAAACTGAAAAGAGTAATAGACAAATCCAAATAAGGCTGGATACCTCAACGTCCCTGTAGAATGACTGACAGAAGTAGACAGAACATCAACAAGGATATAGAAAGACTGAACAACATCATCAGTCAAAAGGATCTAATTCACATTTTCTGGACACTTCGTCCAATAACAGCTGAACACTCATTCTTTTCAAGTGACTGTGGATTATATACCAGGATAGACCATACTCTGGACTGTAAAACAGACTTCAACAAATCGAAAAAATAGAGTGTATTTTCCCACCATAATGGACTCAAAGTAGATATAAATAACAGAAAGAAGACAGGAAAATCTTCAAACACTTTGAAACTAAACAACATAATTTCTAATAACCCATGGGTCAAAGAGGAATTCTCGGGGAAGTCAAAAAATACACTGACCTGAATGACAATGAAAATACACATATCAAAATTTGTGAGTACAGCTAAAGCAAGGCTAAAAGAAAATGTTATAGCACGAAATTGTTATATTAGAAAAGAGTAAGTCTCAAACAATCTAAACTACTACCTCAGGAACCTAGAGAAAGAAGTGCAAAATAAACAAATCAGGCAGAAGGAAGTACATCTTCAAAATAAGAGCAGATGAATGAAAATGAAAAGCAGAAAAAAAATAGAGACAACCAATGAAACAAAGAGCTATTTCTTATAAAACTTTAATAAAACTGACTAGCCTCTAATAAAGAGAGAAAAAGAAAAAGAGAAAAATTACCAGTATCAGAAATTAAGCAAAGGATATCACTAAAAACTCTGGAAACATCAAAAGGTTAAGGAAATACTATGAACAACTCTACACACATAAATTTGACAACTTAGATAAAATAATTCAATTTCTTAAAAACCACAAACTACTACAGCTTATCCAATATGAAACAGACCATTTGAATAGTCCTATAACTATTAATCTGTAATCTAAAGACTGTCCCCTACCACCAGTTCTTGCAGTTCATATGGTTTCACTGGAGAATCCTACCAAACTTCTAAAGAAGAATTAATAGAGAGCTGATGTCAGTAAGATGGTAGAACAGGAAGCCCTGAATCCTCCTTCACCTAATGAATATACCAATTCAGCAACCATTTCTGGACAAATTCATATTGTGAGAAATCCAGAGACTAATTGTAAGGCTCCTGCACCCCAGATGAACATGAAACTAGACTTATCAAAGCTAGTACAGATATTTGGGTACCCTGTCACCAGAATTCCTATCCCTGGCAGAGCACCTTAAATTCATAAGTGATGCACAAGTTTCCAGCTTCTCTGAAGGGAAGGAAAGAGTTGGTCTGCATGTTCAATATCCTAATTTCTGCAGAAGCTATACAAGGAACTGGATTCTGTCTTGCCTGTCTCAGATCACTCACAGGTCCAGCATAAGCTAGCTACAATGGGGGAGAACAGAGACTGCAACTTGGGCTAGTAGTAACCATAGCCTTCCCCAGCTCAGCACAGAGCAAACAGACAAAAAACAAAACAAAACAAAAAGCAAAAAACAGCCACTAACATCCTCCCTGGAAAGGGAAATAATTGGTCTGTGTATCTAATGCCTCAACTTTTTCAAGGGCTGCCAAAAGAACTGGCCTCTATCTTACCTGTTCCAGTGACTGACAGGACAAGGCATACCCTAGACACCCTGGTACTGAAAAGAACATAGAAAGCAAGTTGGACCAAAATGAAGGCTTGGGGGCCCACAGAGTCCCTGACCAGGCTGATTGGTGAGGGTCTTTTCCTGCACAAGGCCAATTCATGAAATCTGAGAGAAGAGATCACTTTGTCTAATGCATAAACGCTAGCATAGAGAGTCAAAGAAAATGAAGAAATAGGCAAATATGTTCCAAATTCCTGACAAATATTTCAAACTAACCATCGTAAAGATGCTCACCAAGGTTGGGAAAACGAGGTCATGCATGAACAAAGTGAGAATTTCAACAAAGCCATAGTAAACATTAAAAAGTGTCAAACAAATCATAGAACTGAGGAATACAATAACTGGACTGAAAAATTCACTACAGGAGTTCCACAACATACTAGATAAAGCAGAAGAAAGGATTGGTGAACTCAAAGGCAAGTCATTGGAAATTCTTCAATCAGAGAAGGAAAAAGTAAAGAAAGCTTAAGGGGCTTATGGAGACCATCAAGTGGACCAATACACACCTTATAGAAGGAAATGAAGGAAATGAGAAAGTATCAAAAAGCTTATTCAAAAAAATAATGGATGAATACTTCCCAAATCCACAGAAGGAAATGGGACAAACTAGAAACAGAAGGAAAGTATCTCAACATAATAAGTACCACAGCTAATATTATACTCAAAGTAGAAAACCTGACAAGTTTTCCTCTCAGATCAGGAACAAGGCAAAGATGCCCATTCTCACCACTTCTAGTTAACAGGCACTGGAAGTCCTAGCAGAGTAATTAGGCAAGAAAAAGAAATAAAAGGTATCCAAATCAGAAAGGAAGAAGTAAAATTGTCCTTGTTTGCCAATGCTATGATTTTATATAGAGAATATCATAAAGACTCAATTAAGAAACTGTTAGAACTAATAAATTTAGTAAAATTGCAGAATACAAAATCAACATACAAAAATCAGTTACATTTTTATGCAATAACAATGAACTATCTGAAAAGAAAATTAGGAAAACAATCTCACTTTCAATAGTACCAAAAAAAAATACTTAGTAATAAATTTAATCAAGGAGATGAAAGATTTGTACACTGAAAACACAAAATACTGATGAAAGAAATTAAACAGACACAAGCAAATGGAAATACATACCCACTTCATAAATTGGAAGATGTAATACTGTTAAAATTTCTACACTACCCAAAGAAATCTACAAATTCAATACAAACTCTGTCAGAATCCCAATGGCACTTTTTACAGAAATGGAAAAATAATCTAAAGTTGATATGGAGCCACATAAGACCCCAAATAGCCCAACAAATCTTAAGAAAAACAAAGCTGGAAAATCACATTTCCTGATTTCAAAATGTATTACAAAGTGATAGTAATTAAAACAGTATAGTACTAGCATAAAGAACAACATATACTCCAATAGAACAGGATAGAGCTGAGAAATAAATCCACACAGATGTGGTCAACTGATCTTTGAAAAGGTGCCAAGAATACACGATAGGGAACAGATAGCCTCTTCAATAAATGGTATTGGGAAAACTGGATATCCACATACAAAGAACGAAACTGGACCCTTATCTTATACCATATATAAAAATCAACTTAAATGGATTAAAGACTTAAATGTAATCCCAGAAAATATAAAACTCCTAGAAGAAAACAGGGGAAATCTTCATAACATTGTTCTTGGCAATGAATTTATGGTTAGAACACTAAAAGTAGACAAGTGGAATTACATCACACTAAAAAGCTCTGTGCGGAAATGGAAACAATCAACAGAATAAACAGGCAACCTACAGAATGGGAGAAAATATTTGCAAGCCATATATCAGATAAGGGGTTAATTTCTAAAATATATAAGGAATACTCCTACAACCCAATAACAAAAAACAAACAAACAAAAACAAAGTCCTAAAAACTAGGTAAAGGATTTGAATAGGCATATACACATTTCTCCAAGGAAGGCATACCAATGGCCAACAGACATATGAAAAGGTATTCAACATCACCAATCATCAGCAAAATGCACAAAACTACAAATGAGATATCACCTCATACCTGTCAAGATGGTTACTATAAAAAAAAAAAGAGAGAGAAAGTGTTGGTGAGGAGGTAGGGAAATTAGAATCCTTGTATTTGGCTTGTGGGAATCCAAAATAATGCAGCCACTGTGGAAAACAGTATCAAAGTTCCTAGAAAACTTAAAAACAGAACTACCATATGATCCCAAAATCCCACTGTCAAATATTTATCAAAAAGAATTGAAATCTTGTCATTAAAGAGATATCAGCAGTTCCATGTTTACTGCAGCACTATTTACAAAAGCCAAGATGATTATGAACAGATTATTGGATAAAGAAAATGAGATACATACATGCAATGGATATTATTCAGCCTTTAAAAAGAAGGAAATTCTGTCAATTTCAGCAACATGGATGAACCAGGGGAACACAACGATAAATAAAATAAGACAGTCACAGAAGGACAAATATTGCATTGGAAGTATATAACTGGAATCCTAGTTATATGAGAATAGTCATCTGAAATCTAAAAAGTGAAATTCATAGAATTAAAGGGTAACATGGTGGTTGCCAAGGGATGGGGGAGGAATAAAAGGGGAGTTACCAATCAACAGGCATAAAGTTTCAGTTAAGAAAGATGAATAAGTTCTAGAGATCTGCTGTATCTATAGTAAACAATACTGTATTATATATTTAAAATTTGTTATAAGGTTGATTCCATGTTAAGTGTTCTTACTGCAATGAATTTTTTAATAAGACATTTTTTAAATGACTAGGGGAAAAAAGAATTAACTACAATCTACACAATCTATTCTAGAAAACAAAAGAAGATTAAACATTTCTTGATTCTTTATATTAAGCTAGAATACCCTAATACCAAAACCAAAGAGGTACTAAACAAAGAAAATGATGGACCAATATGCTTCATGACTATACATATTAAATCCTTCACCAAATATTAGCAAATAGAGTTTAGCAATATATGAAACAAATTACACAGCATGACCAAGTGGGGTTTATGCTGAAGATGCAAAGTCCAAAATTTGAAAAAAATCCAATGTAATCCATTACATTAACAAGCTAAAGAAAAATTCATATGATCATATCAATCAATGCACAAAAAGAATTTGACAAAATTTAACACCAATTCACAATAAGAACTGACAGAAAAATAGGGATCACAGGGAAATTTCTGAACTTGATAAAAAGCACCTATAAGACACCTACAAGAACATACTTAATGGTAAAAGACTGACTAATGTTCCTTAATATTGGGAACAAGCCAAGCATGGCTCTTTTTACCGCTGTTATTCAACATAATGCTGGAGATTCTAACCAATGCATTAAGGTAGAAAAGGAAATAGAATACTTATAGAGTCTAAAGAAGGAAATTAAAATGCCTTTATTTGCAGATGACATGCTTGTCTACATAAACAATACCAAAGAATCTTAGAAGAAGAAGAAGAAGAAGAAGGGGGAGGAGGAGGAGGAGGAGGAGAAGGAGAAGGAGAAGAAGAAGAAAGAGAAGGAGGAGAAGGAAGAAGAGGAGGAGGAGGAGGAGGAGGAGGAGGAAAGAAAGAAACTCCTAAAAGTAATAAATGAGTTCATCAAGGTCATGGGACACAAAATAAATACAGAAAAATAAATTGTATTTCTATATGCCAGAAATCAATGTGTGACCACTGCAGTTAGAAATATGATACTATTTGCAATTGCTCAAAAATGAAATAGATATAAATCTACAAAATATTTACAGGACTTGTATACTCAAAATGACACAACACTAATCAAACAATGTCTAAATAAATGGAGAGACATTCCATGTTCACGGATTAGAAGACCAAATAGTAAATGTATCAGTTCTCCCCAAATTGGTTCCTACTAATATCTCAGCAAGAATGTTTTATAGATGTATACACTGATAATTCTAAAATGTTTATGGGAAAAATAGAAACTGGAATTGCTAAGACAATCTTGACAAAGAATAATAAAGTGGGAGACATGATTCTGCTGAATACTAAGTTTTACCACACAGCTATGGTGTGGTATTGCTAAAGAGATAAACACAGAGATCAATGCAACAGAATGGAGAACTCAGAAATAGCCCACATATAAATGCTCAACTGATTTTTGATAAAAAGCCAAAAGATATTCAGTGTAGAAAAGCCAGACTTTTCAATAGGTGGTAGAGCAGTTGGACCACCAGAGGCAAAAAAACTGTGACATAAACTTCACATCTTACAGAAAAACTAATCTGACCTGTATTATAGACTTATATGCAAAATTCTTAGCTATAAAACTTTTAGAAAAATACAGAAGGAAATCTTTGGGATCTAGGATTCACTAAGGAGTTCTCAGACTTGACACTAAAAATATGATCCATAAAAGGAAAAATTGGTAAACTGGATACTATGAAAATTAAAAAGTTTTACTGTGCAAGAGATTCTATTAAGATACAAGTTACAGAATGGGAGAAAATATTTAAAAACTACATATCCAACAAACAAATCATGTTCAGAATATATTTTAAAAGCCCTTAAAACTCAATAGTAAAAATCCAAGCAATCTAATTCAAAAAGGGGTGAAAGACATGAAGAGCGCTTTCACCAAAGATAATATACAGATGGCAGATAAGCACATGAGAAAATGTTCAACATCACTAGCCATTTTGGGGGAAAAGAGAAGAGGGGAGGAAGCAGAAGAGAAGTTAGTGTGGCTACAAAAGAGCCAAATGAGGGATCCTTGTGGTCATGAAAATGTTCTATACCTTGACTACAGTAGTCCCTTCTTGTGCTCGGGGAATGCATTCCAAGACACCTAGTGGATGTCTGACACCATGGATAGTTCAAAACATACACAGCTAGGGTAAAGTTTAATTTCTAAATTAGACACAGTAAGAAGTTAACAATAACATAATAAAATAGAACAATTACAATATGCCAGCCTCACTACTCTTGTGCCTTGGGGCCATTAGTAAGTAAAATAAGGGTTATTTGAATGCGAGCACTGTGATACCACTACAGTTGATGTGATGACCAAGATAGCTACTAAGTGACTAAGGTAGATAGCATATACAAAGGGATGATTCATGTCCTGGGCAGGTTGGAATGGAATAGCAAGAGATTTCATCACGCTACTCAAAACGGTGCAAAATTTAAAACTTATAAATTGTTTATTTCTGAAATTTTCCATTTAATATTTTCAGACCATGGTTAGCCACAGGTAACTGAAACTGTGGAAAGCAAAGCCAAGGATAAAGGAAGGACTATTGTATATCAATGTCAATGCCCTGGTTGTGATATTATATGTTATAGCTTTGCAAGATATTATTGAGAGAAATGGGTAAAAAGTAGGCAAGAACTCTCTATATTATTTCTCACAGTTGCATGTGAATCTTACAGTTATCTCAAAATAAAAAGCTTTATTTTATTTTATTTTATTTTATTTTATTTTATTTTATTTTATTTTTATTTTAGTGGAGACAGGGTCTCACTCTGTCACCCAGGCTACAGTGCAGTAACACCATCACGGCTCACTGTAGCCTCGAACTCCTGGGCTCAAGCCATCCTCTTGCCTCAGCCTCCTGAGTAGCTGAGACCACAGGCATATGCAACTGTGCCCAGATAATTTTTGTATTTTTTGTAGAGATGGGGTCTCACCATGTTTCCCAGGCTGGTCTCAAACTCCTGGGCTCAAGCAATCTGCCCACCTCGACCTCCCAAAGTGCTAGGATTATAGATGTGAGCCACCATGCCCAACAAAAACTTAACTTTAATATGTAGCCCAACATAATGGCTGGTATCTTTTACAAAAAATAAAACACAGAGACATCAAAAATCGTAAAGAATGAAAACTAGGCATCTTGTTTCCAAAATGTCTGCCTAACAGTATAAAATGGGAAGTGAATTGAAAGCATTAAAAGAAGCAATATACATGAGCAAAAACTAATCTCAAAGGTTGTATTTTTCCACACATATAATAAATTTTAAATATGTTATTTTTATATACATAGTGATGTAATAAATCAGTAATATAAAAAGTAAAGAATAAATTAATGTGTGCAGACATTTACATTTAAAATGTGTAAAAATATAAAAAGAATGGATTTTGAATTTTACATTGCTCCAAATTAAGGGTTCATTCAGAATAGTCACTGTTTAAGTAGACTCATATGCTTTGTTTCCATTAAATTATGCAGCAATTTAAAATAGGAATGTATTGGTCTGTTCTCGCACTGTTATAAAGAAATATCTTAAACTGGGTAATTTGTAAAGAACAGAGGTTTAATTGGCTTGCAGTTCCACAAGCTGTACAGGAAGCATGATGACTTCTGGGCAGGCCTCAGGAAACTTTCAATTATGGTGGTAGGTGAAGGAGAAGCAGGCACGTCTTATGTGGCTGGAGCAGAAGGGAGAATGGAGGAAGGTGCCATACACTTATAAACAACCAGATCTCATGAGCACTCACTCAATATCATGAGAACAGCACCCAGTGGGATGGTGTTAAACCATTAGAAACCAACTCCATGAGCCAATCACCTCTCACACGGCCCCACCTCCAACACTGAAGAATACAATTAAACATGAGATTTGAGCAGGGACACAGATCCAAACCATATCCAGGAAAAATGAAAGACAAGGCAAAAATGAATTTAGTCTAATATACTTTGGACGTCTAAAATAGTGCCAAAATTTTCATACTCATGATACATGCCATGATGTATATATACATCATATATCCGTTTCTGCATTTACAAAGAATATGCTCTTTTAACCCAGGTCATATGGTACCAGGAAGTCACTGCAAAATTAAATCAGGAAATTAGTGACCTAACTTTGGTCGTGTGTGTGTGTGTGTGTGTGTGTGTGTGTGTAACATTTACATATATACAAATGCTAAACAATCGGCTTAAATGTTTCTGTGAAATTGAGTCATTATTAACTGACCACTTTGCCAAGTGTGTTCACATTTTAAATTACGCTGAGAAATGTTATACAGACGGCAGATACTAATTGGCTCATTGTTTGAGTGAAGTGATTGGGTTAGGAGTTAACTAACCTGGTCAGTCCAGTCAAAGTAGTCATTCAGATTGTGTTATATAGGTACGTCTTAATGTTTTTAGGATCATAGACATTGTGGATAATGGTATTTTTTAAGATAATAAATACTTCAGAAACTCAAAGTTTCTTTTTGACTGATCTTTAGCAACATCCTTGGATTTGAGGAATAAAGAAGTGATAAACATCAGTGTGTTATTAAGTCCTATCTTTCCTTCCTGGAGATAAACTCTACCTTTATTCTTCATTTCAACTTCAACCACCCTTGTTCTGGCTTTCATCACTTATATTTAAATGCTGCTGCAACCTCCTTTCTGGTCTCTCTGCCTCTAATTGATTTTTCCTCCACTCCTTTCTGAGCACTGCACTTCTTAAAATACATTTTTCTATTTTCACTCCCCAACTCAGGGCTCCATCATGATTCAGTGTCGTCAACTCCTCTAGCCCTTCCCAATCTATTCCAATCTCCCTATTGAGTCTTGCTTCCTGCAGTTCACACCCCCATACACTTCACCCCAAGCAAGTAAGTGTCCTCACATGCCCCTGTGATTACCCAAATCTGCTCTCATGTCTGAGATTTTCCTGCCTGAAAATATTCCCCTATCAACCCCACTGCATTCTCTTTCAACCTTCCTCTAATTTCCATGCCACCCATACTTCAAGGCCAAGCTCAAGACTACCATCTTCAACAATCCTTCACTTCCCAGCCTGCAGTCATTGTTGTTCCTGATTGTCCTCTTATCCAATTCATTCATTCATCTGCTCTACGCAAATATCTTGAGGTCTTATTTGAGTGTCAGTTACTTTGTTTATTGTAGTACTTCTTTCATATCACTTAGTTTTGATCTATGATTAATATATTTGTCAAATAAAACGGATCATGCCTTAATCTTCTTTTCCAGATCCCTCAGTACTCAGCAGTGTAGTTGGCATATTATCATCACCATTAACACCACCAATAACAAACATCAACTGAACTGCTTCTACCTATAGTCAGTACTCTCCTTGACCCTGAAAACTCAAAGATGTAAGATCGGACCCTGTAACCACAGTTTAGGTGGGGAAAAAATTGCCAAATGAATGGTGTGTACTATAATGTTAGAAGGCCTCAGATGCAGGCACAAGCACTGAGAGAGAGCATGATGAAAGTGATGCGGCTCTAAGTGTTTTACGTTGTTGTAGTGGTTCCTACAGTGACCCACCCAGCCTCTTCGGGACTAATGCACCCATTTCAAGCTGCTGGGACTATCAATATCAACTTCTATACCCCTCATGGGTGATTGCCTGCAGCTGCACAGGATTACAGCCCCTCCCAAGGGGAAACCCACAGGCAATGATTAGTTTATTCAGGGAAATAGAGGCCCAGGCGCCTTTGTTTCAATTTGAGTCAACTCTGAAGGCCCATTTAACCTCAGAGCTCCTGCTAAGATCTATGGAGACCTCACTTGCAGCCACACTTCAGCTTCTCACTCTATCCAGTACTTCACTGATTACTTCTTTTTAAGTTATCTTCCAAAACCACTCTCCAATAAAACTTCAGCTTGTGCATGCAACTTCCCATCTCACAGTCTGGTTCCAAGGATCCCAATCTACTTTCATGCTTTTGAAAGAAGGGTATAGTTACCTACACAGTTCCTAGCTAAAAAAAAGTTCTGGTTCAAAATACTAGCAAACAGGTGCCCTATCTTATCTTAACTTTTCCAAAGTTCTTGGAGTCAGCAGGGATTTTTGTCTCTGTCTCTCACAAATAAAGAAACTGAAGATGAAAATAAAGAAACTAAAGAGAGATGAAGTGTCCAAGATCACACATCTAGGACACAGTGGGCCCAGGACTCAAACCCTGGCCTTCTCAATCTTACCCAGTGTTCTTATCCTACACCAGACAGTTTGGAAAGTGGTCTGGTTTTAAGAAAAGAATATGGACATCGAAATAGGTAAACTTGGGCTTTCCTTTTCTACCAGTTACTAACCATGTGATTTTCAGTAACTCATTTAACTTCTCAAAATTTAATTTCTTAGGTGGCCTTGTGTTTATAAAATTGACATAAACATACCTCCTCATAGCATTATTGTGAGAATTAATTGAAACATAGAAGACACTATTTCCTGTTCTCATAAAGGAGTGGTGATGTATAAAATCAAAGATGTTTGTAAAGTTCAGATTATGGAACTTGGAATATTTTTCTGATCATCCCATTGAAAGTGACCTCTCCTTTTGATCATCTCTTATTTATATTTCTCTAGAATTACACATATTGTAGTTTACACTACTTTTAGAAACATGCACATTTTATTTTTTATAGGCTTTATTTTATAGTTATTTGCCTTAATTTGCCAATCAGTATGTAAAATCTTTGAGGGCCAGAATGGTCCTAGACATTTCTGTACACGTCTCGGAGCCTTGCTCAGTAAGTGCCAGAGAGTAAATGTTGCATGGATGTATTTTGCCAGTGCTGATACACGCTGAATAAACAGATGTTTTGTGGTGCTGTGCCTGCCCCAGTAAGTTGTCATGTGCAGGCAAGAAGATAATACATTTACTCTGAGAACAGGCTACTCTGGAAGACATAGAGGAAGTTGCAACCAAAGGGAACAGTGAATTGAAACATCCAACCTGCCCTATAAAAGAATGTGGACCTATGGACGTCAGATTTTCCCAGTACCAACAAGTAGCTAAATCACTCATTTTAAAATCACTAACTAAACTCATTTTAATGAGTTAAAATAGCACGATATTAGAGTAAGGGTTACTCTTATGGGGGATAAGAGTAAAGAGTGGGGGGAAATGGGAAGTGCTGCTCCACTAGTGTTCATTCCTGGGAAACATGGAAACAAGGACTAGGAAGAGGGTTCCCCCAACAGTGTGCATTTACAAACACTAATCTCAGTCAAATCGGAAGTAAAGGCTTTTGCTGAGATGGAGGATGGGGTGGAAATGCTGCTGTAGGAAATGTGATAGGGTGTCAGCAAAAGAATTGTGAGCAGCCACAAAATTAGAAAGCATGACTCTGTACGGATCCCAGTCGGAACAGTTTTGTGATTTTCAATAGCAACATTCAACAGCCCAGCTGTATGACAAGAGAAATAATACAGTAAGGATGACCCTGGGTGGAGAAATTCTCTTCCCTTGACTAATTCCTTGTGCTTGTTCATAGATTTAAATATATATGACGAAGTGTCAACTCATTAGAAATATTAACATATTGAATTCTAGCTCTTATCCTCCTATCGGAGAGATGGTACAGCAAAGCTATTAAGAGCAAAAGCTCTACAGACTAATAGTCCTAGATTTGAATCCAGTCCCTATTCCAATTAGCAGTATATCCTTGGGAACATTATTTAACTGTACTATATATTGTATATACAATAGTACATATCCCTTAAATTAATTGTGAGAATTAAATAATGCACAAAGCATTTTAACACAGTGCTCATGAATGCTGAATAAATGTTAAATAACAATAAATGAGGAAAAGAACTTGGCACACACAAGATTAAGCACTACTTGGTTTATAGCTTATGAGAGTTAGATCAGAGGTTATGAAACTAGCACTTATTATAATTTATAATTAAATAGAATTTTCTTATTTATTATTTACTCCCCAACAGAATATAGATTCCATAAAAGCAGAGACCTTCTCTGTTTTGACCAATTATTGCCCAAATATAGTACCGAACACATAGCAGGTATTAACTGAATAATCAGTTAATTAATTAAAATGAGCACGCTATTAAGCTAAGAGAGTGATCACAGAAATACTTTATTAGGAACTTGTGTTTCCAGATCACTCTGCAAGTTATCATACTGATTAAAAAATACATAACATAAACAACAAATCAATCTAACTTTCTTCCAAATTTCTAGTTAAATGCCTTTCCTTCCCCCAACAAAAGATAACCTGCCGTTTTGTTAGTTCTGTTAAATATCCATTCCTTCAGTGACTCCTCCCTCCCTGGCCTACAGAAATTTCATCTTCCTTTGGCGAGATTAAGGGACTGATAGTTTTCATAGTGTGTATGTGGTATTGTGTGTGTGGTATTGTGTGTGTGTTTTCTCATCACAACACTTTTACTTTGTCACCTAGAGCAGCCCCCTTTTTCTGTTTGCAATCCCTGCCACTATTCCTACTTACTGTCCACAATTGCCACTTTAATTTCCCTCTATAATTTGACATTTCTATTAGAATCTTGAATCCCCTTAGAACTTTCATCAAACAGTGTAATCAGTAACATATTATAGAAAGTGGCCATCTTTTACATTTATCCTGAAATTGTGGATAGAGTAAGTAGACAAATATTTGTTTCATTGCGTTATCACTTTTAAAGCAAAACTCCAGGAAGCATTTTTTAAGTAGAAATTGTGAAGGGATACTGGATGCCAGGAGTGTAAAAATAACTAAGATGGGAAGTTGCCATTTCCTCTGCTAATTGACATCACTGTGTCAAAGTTTTCAGCTTTTCAGGACTCATTTTTGCTTTTTGAATACATGAAAAACAACTAGAGACCTTCACACCTTTTGCAAACTGTTGTTTACTGGGAAGAACTTCTTTAACATTGGTTGACTGTGAGCAATGCTTATTTATTTTCTTATCTCTCTTTCTAGTAAATAATAGATCTTACCTAAAAATGGCTGAGGCAACCCTAAAGGCTTTGTGATTCAAACCTTAAATGACAAGCTGCCATCACACTAGCCTTCCCCACTGACAGGGAATCCTTCCTCTGGATCTTCAACAAGGGCCCCCTGATCCACACAGCTTTGAGAATATTCAGCTAGTAGAATTTAGATCATATTTGCTATGTGTGTCCAGCTATTTTTCTTTCCAGTATGTTTCTTGAATTCACCCTTGGAATGCACCTTGATGTAGCTTCTGGTAGAAATTAAATATGATTCCTTTCAAGGATGTAATTAAAGAAATCCCTTTTTAAAGATAACTCCTATTGCCGGAAATAATATTTTAATTTATTTATCATTGGCTTTGGTGCTGAAGCTAAGTCTCTGTTAATACAAAAGAGAGAGTAACTTCCAGATTACTGATTTACTTCGCCTTCAGTCAAATTTTTGAAATATTTGGAAAAACTGATTCTGGGTGATTTAAGCCCATACAGCCACATGAGTAAAGTGATTTGGCTGGTAATAGGAAAGAAAAGCGAAATAAGTAAGTAAATAAATAGAAAAAGCCACCGCATCACAGGTTCAGAAATAGCAGAAACAAGAGTATTTTTCTCATGTGAAGGCTGTCTTGTGGAATTAGGTGTGTGAGTTCAATTTCATATAGCAATGGACCCCTCAAAGAGGAGTTAATTCAAAGGTAGAGACTAAGTAAATATTGCTTAGAGAAGCAACTGCATACACAGAAAAAATAATCAGCATCAACACGTCAGAGATAAACCAAGCTAATGCACAGTCAGATACCCAGAAAAAGTCAAGTCTATGTCTTTTGTGAAAAGAATGCTAATTCTCAAAAAGCTCATGAAGACTTCACCTAGCCTTTTTGTTTCTTGAATAACAATTATAAACTTTGAAATTGAAGCTATGATTCTGTTATTGTTTCATATCTTTACAATTCCTGTTACTCATCATATACTAGAAGATCCCTCCGTAAGTAAGTAAAATAGTTTTCTAGGAGGGTGCTGGGGTATCACGAACCCAAATGAAGCAGA
The DNA here is from genome assembly GCF_000001405.40 of Homo sapiens. Classification (NCBI taxonomy): domain Eukaryota; kingdom Metazoa; phylum Chordata; class Mammalia; order Primates; family Hominidae; genus Homo; species Homo sapiens. The sequence goes on from NC_000005.10 coordinate 93,244,906, forward strand.
AATTGACCCAGTAGAACATTGGTAGTCTCAATAAGTTAAAGTATCTTCCAAGTGCTGTGTGTTTGGAGAAGGAGTTTTGTTTTCAGAAACAGCAAATACTCTCAAACCAGTTAAATAAGCATCCATACAAAGTCCACTATGTGCAAAGCCCCATATTTGATACTTGGGGAGACAGCCAGGAACAGTACATTTGTCAAAGGAAAGGTAAGAAGTGAACACAAGTAACTTTAAAACAAGGCAGAATATAAACATACTATATTGGGGCTTAAAACAATGCACCATGAAAAGAAACAAAGATGTATTTAGTTCAGATTAGTTTGGGAGTTAGGGGTGGTCTTCAGCTGGAGAAAGAGCTTATTTACTATTAGTTATTATTTTGAAGAGTTTCCTTTGTTATGATAAAAGTGTCATCCAGAGGGTATCATAAGCATGAATAAATGATTAAATACAATCAAAACCTGAGGCAAGCGACTTCTTTTGGCTTGGATCCTGAAGACTCCTGGGCAGACTTGAAGCTAAGCCAGACATGCTTGCCCAGTTGCGTGGGCCACTTTGGCCATTCGAGCTTGGATTAGCTTTTGGTGGACTGACCTGGATCTCCTGAAGTGACCCATAATTTCCAAGACCACTGGTGAAAAACCCACTCATGAATCTTCAACTCTCAACACAAAGTCTGTGAGCCCACATACAGCAACCATCACTGGAGCCACACATGTGCCCTCTGTAAGGCACATGTATTTTAAATATTAAGCACACTTTAAAAGTTTATTTTGCCCAGGATTTTAAAAACCACATTTAAAAACTACTGTAAATATTTAAAGAAGGATACAGTGTTGAAGAATGAAACTTTTAGGTTTGTCCTACTAGCCATCTTTAATTGTACTGTTATCCCTGCCTCTTTTTTCCTACAGAGCAGTCACAGTTGTTCACAGAAGCCTTGCTTCTGCACAATTTTTGAAAATAGAGTTTACATTGAAAAACACTGGATTTGAGAGATCAGTCACCTAATATGCGAATAAAAACCAAAAACTAAATTTTAACAAAGGTCCGGCAGCCTTCTCTTGGTCTTTTCCTAAGTGCTTAGTTTGCAGTTCTAACTGTAATCTAATCAATGCTTTTCTGATTCAAATATCAATACTTAATATTTACTGCCAGAATACTAAGTTAGATGGCCTGGCCACCTCCTCCTTAACAAGAAAAAATGATCTAAGCACTAGCCAGGCTTTGATGAGGCAGGGAATGAACTGAAGAGAGCCTCCTTCCGCCAACACAGCAGCAATGTGTTTTCTGTCTCAACTGAACGTCCACAAACTTGTAATTTATTTGGAAAAATATGTTGCAGATAAGCAAAAAAAGGCATCTGGAAGCCTTCTTGCCAAATGGTAACTTTCTGGAAGTTTCCTCATTTAGAAGTAATTTCTGGAAAATTTCTTGATTAATACAAATCCGTGAACAAACTTAAAAATGATGGCTTTGTTATTGCTTTGGCACAATATGTTAACAACACTGTGAGTGCTGCCAAAACTCTGAGAGTTCTTTCATGCGGATTATGGTCTTGTTTACATATCCAGCTGTACTGAGGCCTTGTCCATGGTGGTAACCTAACAATGTTCCCAGTGGGGGTGCCCATTAGGGGAGGGGAGACTAACTGAAGTTTAGTTTGTTTAAATTGAGCAAGAATGCACAGCGGCACTCAGATCTTTGGGGAATGTGTTGGAAGCATACCCTTTCTGGGATCTGTTTTCGTTTATTTAAGGGGGATGTTTGCATTGCTCAAAAATTGCAGTACACAAACTTGCCATGCAAAATGCCTTCCACATGTTTACTGTGGTCTATACAGAAGTGAGTAGAAAACACAAATAGTACTTGATTGAAGTAAAATGCTAAATAAAATAGTAATTGCTGGCCTTGGTCATTTTATTAATTAAAATCCCAAACCACTCTCTGTTGTATGTATGTGTGCATATATGTGTAAAATAAATTCTCCCAAGCATGACCATTTAGATCTGATAGGAAAGATAAAATTCACTGAAGAAAGTGAATTTGAAATTGTGAGAAGTTTGTTCCCGTTGATGGGACATTTATGCAAATTTTGTGTTGTTTTGCACCGATTTGTATACATGGATTTCACCGATATTTTATTTTACAGGTTCTAATAACAAAATAATAATTGCTTTTCCCCAAGAACAAATGTGAGAAACGATACATGTTTTCTCATTTTTGACAAAAATTTTAGCAGGATTTTAGTTGCTGCATGTTATTACTAAAAAAGAATCAGGGATATGAGTTGCCTCTGCTCTTACTTCCTGACATTTATGAAGTCTACAAATGAAAATAGTCTGTTCAGAAGAAACTTCCACTTTTTGTGCTTTTATCTTTGCCAGTAGTAGAGAGTCACGAGTAGACCAAGGAGACCTCAGGCAACTGCAGTAGCCTAACTCTGTTAGATAAAGGCTCCTCACAAAGTATTTCTTGTCTGACACCAGCTGAGAGGCCAAGGTGCTTCTGTTATGTTAAAAACGTACCAAGGTTTAACTTGATCTATTGGATATCATTTAGGTCAAAATAAAATTCTTATTGGAAAACTCATAATTCATACAGTTTTTAATTCTTCAAATTACATCTTAGGTCAGTTTTATCAAAGTAATTTTCATCATGGAATTTATTTATTAGTTTAATCAAAAAGTGAAACTCCAATAAGTATTTTTCCAAAAAAGCCATGTTTTCATTTCTCAAAAAAAAAATCTATTTTAAAAAATAATTTCAGTATATAATATTAGCTTTGGTATCAGTATGTCAGGATTTTAATTAAATGTATTATGTTATTTTGTTCTAACATAGAAATCTCATTAATATGCAGGAGAAAAAATATAACGTTCCCATTGTCTATGGAACTGTTGAGTCGCTTACTTCTGTGTCTCTTACTTAGCATTCCCGCACGAAAATGGCATATTCTGTGGCTCTGTTTAGGAAGGTGCAATGTATTCCCACACTGTTACCAAGCTTCAAATTTAAGCTTCAAATTTAAACCATGATCATTGGATTACAAAGCCATTTTTATTTTTCCTATCACTGAGTTTTACTCCTACATTTTTTTCAAAAAGTTTCATATATTAACATACCTTTGAGTCAATATTAACAAGGAGAAGTAAACAGAATAAAAGTGCAAAGAACACAGTATCAGGCTACCTAGGTTTTTATACTTACTTCTACTTACCAGTTACATGCCTTTGCACAAGTTACATATCCTGTCTCCAGCTCTGTTTCCTCTTCTAGAGAAATGAATCTAATAATGCTAACTTTCTCATTGGATTATGTTGAGGATTAAACCAAATAATACACATATAATACTGAAAAAGTGCCTGGCATATAGTAAGCCCTCAATAAATGGTAGGTATAAAACTAGTACTAGACGGATTGGCCATTAATTTTAGTTAATTTTTAAATTCTTTTTAGAATTTTATGTGTTTTAAAGCAGTTAATAGAGGCATGTTAAAAAATATCCAAGACCTTGTTGACACAGTATTTCTAAAAGTATTCATAATTATGCTGACAATATTATGTCTATTCAGACAGCCAAACCTGGAAATATTTAGAAACTATTAAGTTTATGAAAGACAAGTCTGACTAAACCACTTAAAAGCAAGCCTGTTGATATGCTATTTCTAAAATTCTTCTAGGGAAAACATTGTGAGGTTAAAATAGAACAAAGAATAGATTGTGACAAATTCCTATGGACTCTAAATAATATTAATAATGATAAGCTTAATATTCAAATAGTTTCAGAGCATTGTATTCAGTATATAATTATTCTTCACTATGAATTATTTTCTTGCATTCAAAAAACGTATTCTTTAGTGACAACTTAATTTTAAAATACAGTATTAAATATATTAGATATTCTTTTTTAAGAGTATTCTTAAAATAGAATACTCTTCGTATCTAGAAGGAACGGCTAAATGTGTCCACAGTCTAACAATTGAATTTCTTTAAAATTTTGTCCAACAGAGCTTCAGTGAATTGGCACCAAGAATAACCATTCTGGGCTTCTGGGTTATTTATCTACATTTTCAGTGCTACCTTGGTAGATACCAGGCCAATTTCCTAGATAGGCCAGAGGAAGGGAGAGGTGGGGGTGTTTCACTACCATCTCTGGGTTAGTTCAGCACAAATTACTTTCCAATCCTGTTTCTAATTCTTATTTGCTTCCCAAGGACATAAACAATATAGAGTGTTAGGAAAACAAATCTTTTAGAAAAAAGTTTGATGTTTATAATTTAATAATTGAAAAATTAAGATAGATGTTTCTGTTTTCTAGAGATGTACTATAAAATTTCTTTATTAACTCACTGGAATAAGCAGGTTGATGAGCCACACAGGGTATTTTAAGATACCTGTTAGATTATAGTCACATCACCTTTTAAATAATTCACCCTAATTTTGTTCAAACTGGCACCCAGTATTTAGTGATAAGATTGATCAGATTGTGTTATTGTCTGATGGAAGCTGAGGAATTCAGGAGCAATAAGTTATGATGACATGCTTGAGAATTGTTGGGGACAGATCTTCCTCCTGAAATTACAAGTTCATACTGTGATATTGTCAAGCCTTTGTATACCATTATTTTATAAATGTTTATCAAAATCAGTTTCTTTAAATAACCCTTTCTCTATGCTATCCTTTCACTTTTATTTCCTGAATAAGGAAGGCTATTTATTAAATCTTTATGATTCAAAGTCATTTTGGAGGAAAAAAGAAAGTATTTTTTACCACAGTAGCGAATCATTCCTAGCTGAAGGCAGCCTTTGTTCTCAGTCACCAGTTAGACTGCACTTTCATAGCCTAGTGCCTTCTACCAGAGCCTCTTGATATATTCACATAAATGATGGAAGATGCATGAGACGTGAAGGTGACATGTGCAGTCTCCAGGAGGAAACTGATGCCCTGGTTGCTCGCTAAGGAGCCATCCTGGCGTCAGCGGCATACGCAGCCATGCGGCTGCCCTCCCAGCTGGAAGGAAGGAGGTAAGCAGCAGCTGTCAGCAGAAAGAGATGGGAAAGGGGCAATGACTCTCCAATTCACAGAAATAAAATTGTTCATGAAAATTCCCAGTTATGCCCTCCCATAGCTGTATTCCTTCCAAGACTTCTGACTGACTTCCCTGAAACTTCTTTCGTTCTGGCTTATCAGTTGTTTCAGGGCGATGTATTACTCAGCCACCGCCTGTGAAGTGAACCAGAACAATTTGAGGTTAATTCACCTCTCCCAACAATCATAAAAGTTTGTTCGTTCAGAGGTTCAACAATGAAATTGTTACTGATTAGTCCAGATCAAAAAATCTGCACTTTTGTCATTGCAAAAAGATTTAATTACCTTTTTCTAATGCAGTATATATGCCCCATTTGCCAAGACAAAAGAGCTATTATTCAAAGGAAAAAAATATTGCTGTAGCAAGCACAGTAACTTTTAATATTTTCACTGCTGAACTGTCAAAATGTGAACATTCCCACCCCCTTAAAAAATGAAAGTATGGAACTATCGCATAACCTTCACTTTTATAGTAAGAGGTTTTCAGAATATGACCAAAAAAACATAGCAATTTCAGCCAGGTCATAATTTAGTATAAAATAAAACAAGACATTTAAACCCGAGGAGGAAAAAAAAATCTGAGAGTGGTAGAACTATCCAACTATGTGTGCAATTTCCTTGTGCTCAAATTGCATTTTCTCCCTTCAGTGTTATACTGAGCAGGGTCTTGCCCTCTAGATTAGAGACTTTTGCATTAGAGGAAACTAGGTTATGTCTTCCACTGTCAGAGACAGAAATTATGAGCTGCAGTGCATTTTAGCCAGTCACTCTGAAAAATGTTTGCCCAAGGGGGTAATAATTAGAACTGTTTTTGTCAGGTGACTGCATTTTAAGCAGTGATGTGTCTGAGAATCTAGCTAAGGGCTTTAATATAAATATGAATATTTTTTTCAGTCAGCATTGTGGCTTGATTTTTTTTTTTGCTTTGCTTTTTATTTCAAAAGTAAGCACTTTTCAGGAATTATCAGCTAACATGTCCTACAGTTTAGCACAATGGTGACCCAATAATATAATAGCCAGCAGAGAATGATACCCAAGCAGCCTGAGAAGTTAATGCATAAAACGATAAATGAATTCATTTTGAGATCATCATGCATTTATGGACACAAATAATTACTCTGTATTGATTGCTTAGAGGAGTCTAAGCCCAAACATAAAATGGTTTTACTTCTAAATTATTGTTTTACTTATTTAAGTAGTTATTTAATGCAGTTTAATATGGTAGTTCACACTAACATAAATAAAATATATAAAAATACAATTGATGCGCTTTTGGATTACTTCAAAGTGGCTTGACACCTCTGGGGTCAAGACCCCATGGCTGGTGGGTTATCTAGGAGTTCTGTATTATTTATTAAGTTGTCCAAATCTGAATATAACCTTTTTAGACAAGAATGGATCATTTTAATATTCGTTCCCATTACAAAAGCATTATGGAAAGATGGGGATGGATGGAAATAATCTCATATCCTTTGGCTTATAAACTTTAATAAAGACTATCCTTTTGTTCCTACAATAATCCTATGTTTGCAAATAAATGAATCACTTTCAATTATGAGCTTCTCGGAACAAAAGGTCATGTTTTCTGTAGAGTCTTAAGAATACCAAATCCCATCCCCATCAGAGTGTAAATAATGAATAATTACAAAATGAAACTTTCCTCCTGAAAATTAGCTTTAACTATGTTATATCACAGGAAATAATAAATAACAATAATTTGAAAGTAATTAATTTTCTGAGACTATTCTACTTTATATATCACAGACCGTTTGAAATCTTTTATTTGTTTATTTTTAGAGACTGGGTCTTGCTATGTTGCCCAGGCTAGAGTGCAGTGGCTATTCACAGGCACAATCATCACACACTACAGCCTTGAACTCCTGGCTTCAAATGATCCTCCCACTTCAGCCTCCTGAGTAGCTGAGACTACAGGCTGGCACCACTGCACCCAGCCTGAAATCTTAAACTTTCTATTCTAAAAAGGGTTCAATTGGAAAAATGTTGTTGACTTTCATTATAACCAATTATGTACTTATAAGTAGTACATCTTTCATAATATCAGAAACATGACATAACAAAGAATAAGCTTCTACAGTATGAAATCCCCCCACTGCCATGTAACTCACCTTATCTTGCTTTGTGTACCCATGTTTTAATCTTCCAGTTTGAACTTCAATTTCTTCTTTTTTTAAATAAAAAGGTTGATTAAAACTCTGTACGAAAGCTGATTCTCTCCCTCTCAGGTGATCTTACCTCCTTCTCTCTTTCCCAAGATCCTCTCTGGGTATAAAAGGATAATCCTGTGTTCTCATGGTGATGGTGAAAGGGCCTCTGACTTACATACTAGCATCTGGGTCTTTGCTGGCCTCTGCTGGTCTGTTCCCCTCTGTATCAGGTTATCGAGCACCCTGTTCTAGTGTCCAGTATTTTGTGCTTTGTACTGCCTGGTGCGTTGGGGATGTGGAAAGGGGGAAGTGGGGGTCATGGTAGCAACTATTCCCAAAGTCCTTAGATCCTGCGGTAACCTCCTATATCACATTCCCTGTACTCTGTGGCATCCATGTCCCAACCCCAGGCTTCTTGCATTGCACTGATTCCCTTAATAATAGGAGACTCCAGAAATTATGAAATCCCTAGATAACCTCATGGGCCATGGGCAGCCAGGGGCATTATTTAATCCACTTGACTAATGCTTCCTTCAGCATTTCTAATTGACCAATCATGTGCTGCCATATTGGTGTTGTACCATGATAAACATGGGACTTCTTCAAGGAATTTGAAAAGTTCTCAAGATAGAAACTGAAGCAAGTATCAAGCTTAACCTAACCCCTCCGCTCATCTATGAACCCCACAATTTTAACTAGATTTTTCTGTTAGCCTTCATTTTACTCCAACCCAAAGGGTTTGAGCCCTATTAAGCATACATTTGACGAAACTCTTATCTGACCCCTTGCCATTCATATGCCTTTTCTGTTTTCCCTCTTCTCAGACCCTTCTGACTAATTTCCTTTCTCTTCTTTCAGGAGCTGTCGCTATGTTACATCTTGCTCCTTCCCTTAGTGTAACTCACTCTTCCCTTCACTGCATCATAGTGATGGAGAGTTTCAGGAAAATTAACAGATTATTAAAGACAGAAGAGACAATGAGATGTGATCTGGAGGGGGTGTTATCTCCCGGCTCCTCCTTTGTTCTTCTCTGCCTTTTTTGTACCTCAGGGAAAGGGAGCCAGCAAAGCTGTATTTCCCAAGTTCCCTTGACTTTCTGTTAGATTTTGCCAGTGGAAGGCAGGCACTGGAAGAAAACTGAAGAAAGAAAGAGGCCATTTTATTCCCAGCTTCTAATGGCAGTTTCAGCAGCCGTAACAATGATAGGTATATGTGGCTCCAAGTTCTACTCAGGTAACCCAATTTCAACTTCGGCAATCTCACCTGCATATGGAGTCTAGGTAACACTACTTTCTCCTTTGGATTTCTAGGCCTATGGGTAGTAGTGCCTTAATATAGGTACTACTTTCTAGATAAACTTACTCAATCAGTGCCCCAGCCCTTCCAATACTTTGAAACTAATTCACTGTATTAACTCTGAAATTCCTCAGTTGGATTATGTTTGTGTGATTAAACACAGGAAATATGTCAATCATATGATCTCTATTACATTTTTTAAAAGTCTACCTGTAGAAATATTATTAGTTCCTTTTTGTTAAAACCATGGTTGAAAAGTATTTGAAGAAGACTTCTAGAGTAGTATGTATTAACCATCAAGACTGTCTAAAGAGAATTTTCAGTCTTATAAGGTAATTACTCTACTAGGGCCTAAATGGCATCTATAGCCATTTAGAAAACAAGAAACATTCATTATTATGACTCATTTTTTGGCCATAAATTTCTGTAAGGCGTGGACTGCCTACACTTTTTATAAATTTTCTTTGTGTTAAGGAAGGAATACCAAGTAATTTTCTGGAGTCTCATTGCTTTCTGGCCCTTCTGACTTCCCTTGCCATTTTGACCCACATGTGGAAATGAGAATTACAAAGTTTTGTCTCTCTTTCCCTACTCCACCTAGCACCACACATGCTGCCACTCACTTACTTCAAATTCCTTACTTTGAATGAATTAAAGTCCAGCAAGCTAGGATGCCTGCAGTAATGGAGGAATGCTGTAGGCCAAGGACTCCAAAGACACAAATGAGGTATACACACACACATGCGCACACACAGGCATTCAGTTACCCATCCATTTTCCTTCTAAACCAGTAGCCCATTAAGTACAGGAACAGGTTTACTTTTTTATCTTTGTATCTCTAGGTTTGTTTTTTTCCCAAAGTCAAAAGGTATGTGAATAACTTTTAGAACTTTTATAGAATTAGACCCATAAACTTATAAAAGTAAAAAGAGCAATAGAAATCATTCCATTCTACTAATGATTATCTCTATTATAACATATCATTCCTATCATAATTTTTTAAATCCTCCTAATTTATCTGTGAACGCCTTTAAAGGAATGCCTGATTTGTATCTTACCATCCTGTGTTTAACGCAGTGCTTAATACACAGGGAACATTCAATAAATGCTTGGTGAAAAGGAGTAGATGAATGAGTTAATGGCTTACTGAATTAATGAATTACTAAGGAGTCAAATATCTTGTCCAAGAATGCAGCGCATAAGTAGACTAACAAGGCTAAATAACACCTAAATGATTCTAAGTTTTCTGATCCCAAGTCCAGTGTTATTTTCACAGACCTTCTTCTGAGTTAACATTTTTAGTGTTTTCTCATAAAACAAGTTTTAATCCTTTTGCCTTCAGAATAATGTAGAAGTGTGGGTGAAATAAGGAGAGATGCTGTTACACTTGTCGAAACAAGGCAAACCAAAAAGAAAGGTCTCGGTACCTAGTACCAGGTTCAGAAGCAACAGTGAAGTCTCCAAGACCAACTGGAGGAAGAATAATCAGGCATGCATGATAGGGAAACAATACTGAGCACAATTACCCTGCAAGCTCAATTTCCAATGGGGTCACTCTGTGCCTGTTTATGGAAAACGTATCATACATAATCAGCTACAAGCACTGAACTTTCATCAGAGTAGAGATAAGTTCAATATCTGTCTACATTATCATTATTTTTTCCCAAGAACAGTATATTCCACTCATATGAACTGTATAAAAGAACCCATAAGATATGAAAGTGCTCTTTCAGAATATGATTGCTGTAGAAGCATCACTGATTTTAATGTATAATGTTTAGGAAAAATGTATTCAATTGTTTCTCTCTCAACATGTTTCATTTTTAAAACAAAAAAAAGAGGGTAAACAAATGTCATTGAAAGATAGATACTACTAAAATTCTGTTACAAAAATACTTCAGTTCCTTTGTTTTTTATGTTAAATCCAACTGCAAATCACAAAACCACCTCATCTAAGACCCAAAACAAAATTGTATACCCGTATTAATACCCAAAATTTTTGGTAGAAAATTAACACACCATAATGCTTAGGGAAAAATCCTGATATGCCACCATTTGGTTACATTAGTTTTTCCCAATACGTGATGGAGTAGAAATGTGACACTTGATATTATCACTGATGGTTAATTCTGTGAACATTTTAATATTTTTCAGACATCCCAAGATTTATATTTTTCCTTCCTCAAATGAAAGCAAGAATTTAAATACCAAGTCTTTCCATTCTTTTGAAAAAATAAATGCTATAATATACCTCCCAAGGTTAATCTCTGTCCTTGCACCTCCAATGAATCTATGGCAAGAATGTTTTTTATTGCTCTGCCATATCTAAAATTGCTTAGTCCATACTCTCTTAGACACATCATTTTTCAAACTCAAACTTCCAAGTTTCATCAGAAAAGAGCACATTACACTAAATGCAAAGCAAATGATTACTAGCTCATATTCTAGGGATATATGCATTCTTTGCCAAACAAGCAAGCCCATGTGTTTTAGTTTGAAGAAAGAATCTTGCAGCAAGCAAGCACTCTTAATATACCATAGACTTTGAATGATTCTTTGGCAAACTGTAAAGTAGTTTGTTCTGGAAATTGTATCAACCATGGAGCCCCTGCCCTCATCATTTGACTTGTAATGGATATAGTTCCAAATAAATAGTTTACATTCCCAGCCTTGGCTTTTTTTAAATCTCCTATTAATTATCAGCCTATTGCAGTCTGGCTTCTTTCTCCCTACTCCAAATCATGCTAGAAGTAGGGGTAGAAGAAGCCTTTTATGGATAGAATTTGTTACCCCAAAATTCATATGTTGAAGTTCTAACCCCAGGACCTGTGAATGTGACTTCATTTAATAATAGTGTCTGCAGATGATCAAGATAACTGAGGTCATTAGAGCGGGCCTTAATCCAATCTGACTGGTGCCCTTATAAATAGGGGAAATGTGAATGCAGACACAAACATGCATCCAGGGAGGGCACCACAAGGAGATTAAGTCAGAGATCAGAGTGATTTAGCTACAAGCCAAAGAACACCAAAGATCACCAGCAAATCACCAGAAGCCAGGAAAGAGGCATGGAACAGATTCTCCCTCACAGCCCTCAGGAGGAACCAACTCTGCCAACACCTTAATCTCAGACTTCTATCCTCCAGAACTGTGAGACAGTGTCTGTGGTTTAAGCCACCCCATTTGTGGTACTCCATTACAGCAGCCCTAGTCTAATACAAAGCTTCTGTTCTAGAAATGAACAGACCTGGGCTTTGCATCCACCTTTTCACACAGTGAAGGTTTCCCAGAGTTTCATCCTCAGCCTCTTCTCCCCGGGAAACCCCACAGCCTCCATTGTCATCTTGAGGCCAAGTGCAGTAGCCCCTCCTTATATGCAGTTTTGGTTTCTAGGGTTTCAGTTACCCATGGCCAACCATGGCCTGGAAATATTAAGATATTTTGAGAGAGAGAGAGAGCAAACATTCACAGAACTTTTATTACAGTATGTTGTTATAATTGTTCTATTATTCATTATTATTGTTAATGTCTTATTGTGCCCAATTTATAAATTAAACTTTATCACAGACATATATGTATAGGGAAAAAAACATAGTACGTATAGAGTTCAGTACTGTCTTTTGTTTCAGGCATCCACCAGAGGTCTTGAAACATATCCCCCAAGAATAAGGGGGTACTACTGTATTTCCATATCTCCATGTCTAGCTCTAGCCTCTCTTCTTTGATTCAAAAATGTATTTGTGACTGCTTGGTCAGTATCTCCAGGTGATTTTCTTGCAAGGATCACAATCAAGTTTACCCCAAGCCTTCTGCTGCTTCTGGGTAAATGGCTATCTCATCAGTTAACATCACCACCCACTCAGTAAACCAAGAAAGAAAGGTGAATTACATTTAACATTTCCTTCTCCTTCAGTCATTGTATCAAGTAGTTCCAATTAAACCTACCTGTGAAAATTTCTTGAATCCATTTCATCCTTTCCAGGCATACTGCTATTTAATACTGTGTTGGTTTGAACACTATTACTTGCTCCAGCTTCTTCATGAGTCTTCTAAAGATTCTGCCTACCACCAAACAACTCTGTGCTTTTTACCAAAGTCATTTTTCTACACAGTGCCTATTGTATCTTCCCTATTCAAAACCTTTGTTTTTCCACTACATATAAAACCAAGGTGAAACTTCTTATCAAACCACATTAGGTCTTTCAGAATCTGATTTAATCCTGACATTCCAACCTCATCTTCTGCCACATCCCACCTGCGTCCAACCCCATCTGAAGATGCAGGAGGACTACACTTCTCTGAACACTTGAAGACACTCACGGCTATGTGACTAATTTTGGCCAATGTCCTGTGACTCATTGCCACATATATCACTTTCAGGCCAGAGTATTTAAGGGTCAAGATGAATCCACTAGCACTGTCTTTCCTGATACAGCAATCACAGAGGAGGCTCTATGATAATACCAGAGAGAAGGTCCCTGAGACACTGCATGGCAAACCGTTGCTAAAGAGTGAGCAGACTTGCAGCCAACTTTGTATAAATAATAAATAAACTGTAAAGATGTTAAGCCACTGAGATACAGGAGAGGTTTGTTGCTGGTACATAAACTAACTTACTTTCTGTCTGCTATACCACCCATATCCACCAATTTTTTATACTCCTATATAATATGCTTTGATTCACATGTTAAACTGTGTTGGTTTTACATCAAATTGCCACTTGTAAGTGTATTTTGTGGCACTTTCAGTGTAGTGATATAGCATATGCTTTAAGAAATTTTAAAAATAAAAAAATCAAAGAGTATTATGCATGCCATAAAGCTCAGTTCAGTTTCTTCTCCTCCCTGAAGGTCATCCTAAATTTCGCCTCCTCCCCAGTTTCTCACACTCATCTTTTTCTGCCTTCTTATAAGAGTTGTTTTTTATCTTTGGTGTCTCACCTTATCTTATGGTTATTTATTCATCTCTTTTCCGTTCAGTCACACATTCTAAAAAAACTGTAAGCTCCTTAAGGTCAGGACCTGTATCTAACACATTCTTTAATCCTCCTAAGCACTTCACACAAAGTGCAAGCCCATTGTCTGTGCTCTTCACGCATTGTCTATGCTCAGTAAATGTGCATTGGATGAGTTCAGTTGTAGAAAGTAATAAATGGATTTTTTTTAATAAATGCACCACCTCTCTGGAAATCCACAGTGCTCACATTTTGTGTTACGAGCTCATTTTAGAGTGATTGGATGCCTTTTATTGGCTAATGTCTGCCATGTGGTAATGTCTTCATTTGCTGAGTTGATGTTCCAAATCTTACAACTCTTAGTCATAATTATTAGTTTTTCCCCTGATTTTGTGCTTCATTGAGGTTTTAAAGGGTAAAATTAACCTCCCAGCTTTTCCTCCATAAATTTATAATTTCATTGTGATTTCATTGCTAGATTGGCTTCCATTTCAGAGATTTGTCCAAAGTTTAGGTGATTATGTGTCTGTTGTTTTTCTCTTCTCTCCAATGCAGTTATTTCCTTACAATCTAACTTGCTCAACTGCATAGCAATAGATACAGCAACATGATGTGGAATTCTAAATACTACTTACTTAGAAAAGATAAATCTTAAGAGAAATGAGACATGTTTTTTCACCTGTGTTAAAATTATATGAGAATTTATGAAAATAAAGACTCATTCCCATAATATTCTTCCCTGCTCTGGCATCTGTTTACCTGGACATAAGTCAATGTTTTCTGTGGAACACAACATTGTAAAATGTACATTAACAAGTTCTTAAGGGATATCATAAGCATAAAATCTGTTTAGCTATTCAACAATATGGAAATTTGATTGTTTAACTTGAACTAGAAATGTATGGCTTCAATTTCACTAAAGTTATATATAATTACATAGATTAAGACATGCATTTGGGAATTTATTACTTCTCAATATTGGTAAAGCTAACATAGACATTAGACTCATAAACTACATAATTGCTTGTAAATAGATACCTTGTAAATAGATACATTGTAGGTGAAAAAAATCATTTAAAGGGTCAGAAAATTATGTCTGGCTGCAAAACTACATTCGAATGTGTCACAGAACTTCTTGAGACTCTCTGGGGAAAATATTGAAATACTAATTTTTACCTCACTTGCCTCAGTTGCTTGTCCTTTGTAAAAATAATTTGTAAAAGTCTGCCTCCCTGTCCATCTTTGAATCCCTCCAGTCCTAACACCTGGCTCAGCCAGCTACCACTCCTATAGTTTTCTCAAACCGTGGACCCAGTGAAGCCCTGCAAGGCGTAAATGACCCTGGGCCAGTCAGGAGCTCAGCATCAAGCAGATCTTTTTTCAGGTCTTCTAATAAGCAGACTTGCCCTTTTGTTTGTAATAAAGACTGTGTCTCATACTTCATGTTAGTAATCTTATTCCATTGCTCCCAAGTCTGCTCTGGTTTGCTGCCTATTAAGTGAACTAGTTGAGTGATTTTTTCAAAGTGGGTCCCCCAAAGCATCAGCAACACATGGAAACTTAAAGAAATGCAAATTCTTAGGCCCCGCCCCAGATTTAGTGAATCAGAAACTCTGGGGGTACAGTTCAGTAACAGGTGCTTTAACAAGCTGTCCAGGTGTTTTTGATGAATGTTCAAGTTTGACAACTAGTGGGTCAGTTTTTTGGCTTTAATTCCTCTTATTTCCATGTGCCTCTCTGCTCTCTTCCATCCCATCATCAAGTCCTCACCCTAACAGGGCAAACTTCTTTTGGAAAGTAGAGAGGGAGCAGGAGACATTTTTACGCCCGATTCAAAAGCATGTGACTTTGGGAAGAGAGACAAAGGTTGAAAAAGGAAGGGTAGTCTGTTTTGTTGTCCAATAATACACTATGGAAAAATGTAGTAAATGCAGCTGTAATAAGTGAAAAAAAAATTGTTAAGGGAAAGAGATGCTCAAAGTTAGGATGGTACTATCCCTGCCCTGGGTATTTTTAGAGGGACACCAATAAAAAATATACTTACTTTTTTGGTGGCTAGACTGTGTTTCTTTCAATTCAACACTGCAGAGATAAATATAGAAACCAAGTTAATATTCAGGTTTTACAAAGAGGCGTCCTGCCCAGTTCAGTGTGTTATGGGACAAGAACAGCATGGGACAAGCAAAAACGAATCAGCAACTTCATTCTCTATCCCTCTGCCTCTCTGAGCTATTGTTCACTCAATTATCCCCACTTCTTTATTCACCCTTCAGCCTCCCTTCTCCATGGTTCCTTCTCCCTCACTATGCAAACCTATGAACATTATCACCGTAGGACAAAAAAACAAACATCGCATGTTCTCACTCATAGGTGAGAATTGAACAATGAGAACGCTTGGACACAGGAAGGGGAAACATCACACACTGGTGCCTGTCATGGGGTTGGGGGATGGGGGAGGGATAGCATTAGGAGATATACCTAATGTAAATGATGAGTTAATGGGTGCAGCACACCAACATGGCACATGTATACATATTTAACAAACCTGAACGTTGTGCACATGTACCCTAGAACTTAAAATATAATAAAAAATGTATAATTTTAAAAAAAAAAAAGAAAATGAACTAGGAGGAGGAGCCAAGATGGCCGAATAGGAACAGCTCCGGTCTACAGCTCCCAGCGTGAGGGACGCAGAAGACCGGTGATTTCTGCATTTCCATCTGAGGTACCGGGTTCATCTCACTAGGCAGTGCCAGACAGTGAGCGCAGGTCAGTGGGTGCGCGCACCGTGCGCGAGCCGAAGCAGGGCGAGGCATTCCCTCACTTGGGAAGCGCAAGGGGTCAGGGAGTTCCCTTTCTGAGTCAAAGAAAGGGGTGACAGACGGCACCTGGAAAATCGGGTCACTCCCACCCGAATACTGCGCTTTTCCGACAGGCTTAAGAAACGGCGCACCACGAGATTATAACCCGCACCTGACTCGGAGGGTCCTACGCCCACGGAGTCTCGCTGATTGCTAGCACAGCAGTCTGAGATCAAACTGCAAGGCGGCAGCGAGGCTGGGGGAGGGGCGCCCGCCATTGCCCAGGCTTGCTGAGGTAAACAAAGCAGCCCGGAAGCTCGAACTGGGTGGAGCCCACCACAGCTCAAGGAGGCCTGCCTGCCTCTGTAGGCTCCACCTCTGGGGGCAGGGCACAGACAAACAAAAAGACAGCAGTAACCTCTGCAGACTTAAATATCCCTGTCTGAAAGCTTTGAAGAGAGCAGTGGTTCTCCCAGCACGCAGCTGGAGATCTGAGAACGGGCAGACTGCCTCTTCAAGTGGGTCCCTGACCCCTGACCCCCGAGCAGCCTCACTGGGAGGCACCCCCTCAGCAGGGGCACACTGACACCTCACACGGCAGGGTATTCCAACAGACCTGCAGCTGAGGGTCCTCTCTGTTAGAAGGAAAACTAACAAACAGAAAGGACATCCACACCAAAAACCCATCTGTACATCACCATCATCAAAGACCAAAAGTAGATAAAACCACAAAGATGGGGAAAAAACAGAACAGAAAAACTGGAAACTCTAAAAAGCAGAGTGCCTCTCCTCCTCCAAAGGAACGCAGTTCCTCACCAGCAAGGGAACAAAGCTGGATGGAGAATGACTTTGACGAGCTGAGAGAAGAAGGCTTCAGACGATCAAATTACTCTGAGCTATGGGAGGACATTCAAACCAAAGGCAAAGAAGTTGAAAACTTTGAAAAAAATTTAGAAGAATGTATAACTAGAATAACCAATACAGAGAAGTGCTTAAAGGAGCTGATGGAGCTGAAAACCAAGGCTCGAGAACTACGTGAAGAATGCAGAAGCCTCAGGAGCCGATGCGATCAACTGGAAGAAAGGGTATCAGCAATGGAAGATGAAATGAATGAAATGAAGCGAGAAGGGAAGTTTAGAGAAAAAAGAATAAAAACAAATGAGCAAAGCCTCCAAGAAATATGGGACTATGTGAAAAGACCAAATCTACGTCTGATTGGTGTACCTGAAAGTGATGGGGAGAATGGAACCAAGTTGGAAAACACTCTGCAGGATATTATCCAGGAGAACTTCCCCAATCTAGCAAGGCAGGCCAACGTTCAGATTCAGGAAATACAGAGAACGCCACAAAGGTACTCCTCGAGAAGAGCAACTCCAAGACACATAATTGTCAGATTCACCAAAGTTGAAATGAAGGAAAAAATGTTAAGGGCAGCCAGAGAGAAAGGTCGGGTTACCCTCAAAGGGAAGCCCATCAGACTAACAGCGGATCTCTCGGCAGAAACCCTACAAGCCAGAAGAGAGTGGGGGCCAATATTCAACATTCTTAAAGAAAAGAATTTTCAACCCAGAATTTCATATCCAGCCAAACTAAGCTTCATAAGTGAAGGAGAAATAAAATACTTTGCAGACAAGCAAATGCTGAGAGATTTTGTCACCACCAGGCCTGCCTTACAAGAGCTCCTGAAGGAAGCACTAAACATGGAAAGGAACAACCGGTACCAGCCGCTGCAAAATCATGCCAAAATGTAAAGACCATCGAGACTAGGAAGAAACTGGATCAACTAACGAGCAACATCACCAGCTAACATCATAATGACAGGATCAAATTCACACATAACAATATTAACTTTAAATGTAAATGGACTAAAAGCTCCAATTAAAAGACACAGACTGGCAAATTGGATAAAGAGTCAAGACCCATCAGTGTGCTGTATTCAGAAAACCCATCTCACGTGCAGAGACACACACAGGCTCAAAATAAAAGGATGGAGGAAGATCTACCAAGCCAATGGAAAACAAAAAAAGGCAGGGGTTGCAATCCTAGTCTCTGATAAAACAGACTTTAAACCAACAAAGATCAAAAGAGACAAAGAAGGCCATTACATAATGGTAAAGGGATCAATTCAACAAGAAGAGCTAACTATCCTAAATATATATGCACCCAATACAGGAGCACCAAGATTCATAAAGCAAGTCCTGAGTGACCTACAAAGAGACTTAGACTCCCACACATTAATAATGGGAGACTTTAACACCCCACTGTCAACATTAGACAGACCAACGAGACAGAAAGTCAACAAGGATACCCAGGAATTGAACTCAGCTCTGCACCAAGCAGACCTAATAGACATCTACAGAACTCTCCACCCAAAATCAAAAGAATATACATTTTTTTCAGCACCACACCACACCTATTCCAAAATTGACCACATACTGGGAAGTAAAGCTATCCTCAGCAAATGTAAAAGAACACAAATTATAACAAAGTATCTCTCAGACCACAGTGCAATCAAACTAGAACTCAGGATTAAGAAACTCACTCAAAACCGCTCAACTACATGGAAACTGAACAACCTGCTCCTGAATGACTACTGGGTACATAACGAAATGAAGGCAGAAATAAAGATGTTCTTTGAAACCAACGAGAACAAAGACACAACATACCAGAATCTCTGGGACGCACTCAAAGCAGTGTGTAGAGGGAAATTTGTAGCACTAAATGCCCACAAGAGAAAGCAGGAAAGATCCAAAATTGACACCCTAACATCACAATTAAAAGAACTAGAAAAGCAAGAGCAAACACATTCAAAAGCTAGCAGAAGGCAAGAAATAACTAAAATCAGAGCAGAACTGAAGGAAATAGAGACACAAAAAACCCTTCAAAAAATTCATGAATCCAGGAGCTGGTTTTTTGAAAGGATCAACAAAATTGATAGACCGCTAGCAAGACTAATAAAGAAAAAAAGAGAGATGAATCAAATAGACGCAATAAAAAATGATAAAGGGGATGTCACCACCGATCCCACAGAAATACAAACTACCATCAGAGAATACTACAAACACCTCTACGCAAATAAACTAGAAAATCTAGAAGAAATGGATAAATTCCTGGACACATACACTCTCCCAAGACTAAACCAGGAAGAAGTTGAATCTCTAAATAGACCAATAACAGGAGCTGAAATTGTGGCAATAATCAATAGCTTACCAACCAAAAAGAGTCCAGGACCAGATGGATTCACAGCCGAATTCTACCAGAGGTACAAGGAGGAACTGGTACCATTCCTTCTGAAACTATTCCAATCACTAGAAAAAGAGGGAATCCTCCCTAACTCATTTTATGAGGCCAGCATCATTCTGATACCAAAGCCAGGCAGAGACACAACAAAAAAAGAGAATTTTAGACCAATATCCTTGATGAACATTGATGCAAAAATCCTCAATAAAATACTGGCAAACCGAATCCAGCAGCACATCAAAAAGCTTATCCACCATGATCAAGTGGGCTTCATCCCTGGGATGCAAGGCTGGTTCAATATACGCAAATCAATACATGTAATCCAGCATATAAACAGAGCCAAAGACAAAAACCACATGATTATCTCAATAGATGCAGAAAAAGCCTTTGACAAAATTCAACAACACTTCATGCTAAAAACTCTCAATAAATTAGGTATTGATGGGATGTATCTCAAAATAATAAGTGCTATCTATGACAAATCCACAGCCAATATCATACTGAATGGGCAAAAACTGGAAGCATTCCCTTTGGAAACGGGCACAAGACAGGGATGCCCTCTCTCACCACTCCTATTCAACATAGTGTTGGAAGTTCTGGCCAGGGCAATTAGGCAGGAGAAGGAAATAAAGGTATTCAATTAGAAAAAGAGGAAGTCAAATTGTCCCTGTTTGCAGATGACATGATTGTATATCTAGAAAACCCCATTGTCTCAGCCCACAATCTCCTTAAGCTGATAAGCAACTTCAGCAAAGTCTCAGGATACAAAATCAATGTACAAAAATCACAAGCATTCTTATACACCACCAACAGACGAACAGAGAGCCAAATCATGAGTGAACTCCCATTCACAATTGCTTCAAAGAGAATAAAATACCTAGGAATCCAACTTACAAGGGATGTGAAGGACCTCTTCAAGGAGAACTACAAACCACTGCTCAAGGAAATAAAAGAGGATACAAACAAATGGAAGAACATTCCATGTTCATGGGTAGGAAGAATCAATATCGTGAAAATGGCCATACTGCCCAAGGTAATTTACAGATTCAATGCCATCCCCATCAAGCTACCAATGACTTTCTTCACAGAATTGGAAAAAACTACTTTAAAGTTCATATGGAACCAAAAAGGAGCCCGCGTCGCCAAGTCAATCCTAAGCCAAAAGAACAAAGCTGGAGGCATCACACTACCTGACTTCAAACTATACCACAAGGCTACAGTAACCAAAACAGCATGGCACTGGTACCAAAACAGAGATATAGATCAATGGAACAGAACAGAGCCCTCAGAAATAACGCCGCATATCTACAACTATCTGATCTTTGACAAACCTGAGAAAAACAAGCAATGGGGAAAGGATTCCCTATTTAATAAATGGTGCTGGGAAAACTGGCTAGCCATATGTAGAAAGCTGAAACTGGATCCCTTCCTTACACCTTATACAAAAATCAATTCAAGATGGATTAAAGACTTAAACGTTAGACCTCAAACCATAAAAACCCTAGAAGAAAACCTAGGCATTACCATTCAGGACATAGGCATGGGCAAGGACTTCATGTCTAAAACACCAAAAGCAATGGCAACAAAAGACAAAATTGACAAATGGGATCTAATTAAACTAAAGAGCTTCTGCACAGCAAAAGAAACTACCATCAGAGTGAACAGGCAACCTACAAAATGGGAGAAAATTTTCGCAACCTACTCATCTGACAAAAGGCTAATATCCAGAATCTACAATGAACTCAAACTAATTTACAAGAAAAAAACAAACAACCCCATCAAAAAGTGGGCAAAGGACATGAACAGACACTTCTCAAAAGAAGACATTTATGCAGCCAAAAAACACATGAAAAAATGCTCATCATCACTGGCCATCAGAGAAATGCAAATCAAAACCACAATGAGATACCATCTCACACCAGTTAGAATGGCAATCATTAAAAAGTCAGGAAACAACAGGTGCTGGAGAGGATGTGGAGAAATAGGAACACTTTTACACTGTTGGTGGGACTGTAAACTAGTTCAACCATTGTGGAAGTCAGTGTGGCGATTCCTCAGTGATCTAGAACTGGAAATGCCATTTGACCCAGCCATCCCATTACTGGGTATATACCCAAAGGACTATAAATCATGCTGCTATAAAGACACATGCACACGTATGTTTATTGCGGCATTATTCACAATAGCAAAGACTTGGAACCAACCCAAATGTCCATCAGTGATAGACTGGATTAAGAAAATGTGGCACATATACACCATGGAATACTATGCAGCCATAAAAAATGATGAGTTCATGTCCTTTGTAGGGACATGGATGAAATTGGAAATCATCATTCTCAGTAAACTATCGCAAGAACAAAAACCCAAACACCGCATATTCTCACTCATAGGTGGGAATTGAACAATGAGAACACATGGACACAGGAAGGGGAACATCACACTCTGGGGACCGTTGTGGGGTGGGGGGAGGGGGGAGGGATAGCATCGGGAGATATACCTAATGCTAGATGACGAGTTAGTGGGTGCAGCACACCAGCATGGCACATGTATACATATGTAACTAACCTGCACAATGTGCACATGTACCCTAAAACTTAAAGTATAATAAAAAAAAAAGAGTCTTCTTTAATCATGCAAACACCCCATAGGCACTACCCTAAATATGCTCTTCTGTTTGCCTACAGGTTTCTATAACTTGAAAGGAAATTCACTTTCAAAATCTCAACTTTGCATATCTGTTTATTCCTTGACCCACTATAACACACAGAAAGTCACAATGGGTCGAGGAATAAAGAGAAGTGCACAGAATTCTGCAGAAAGGAACTTCTGTCATGTCCATCAATGATCCATTTAGAATATCTGATAGCTGGGGATGTGGCGCGCCGCGCGGAGAACAGAGCTTTAGCCCGCAGAACGCCCATATGTATGCCACCCGCCTCATCCAAATGAGATCCTACCTGGAGAACCGGGCCCAGCAGCACTGGGGCAGTGGAGCGGTAGTGAAGAAGCTGCGCGAGCTGCAGCCCGGGGAGAAGCGCTGTGTGGTGGGCACTTTGTTCAAGTCCATGCCGCTGCAGCCCTCCATCCTGCAGGAGATCAGTGAGGAGCACAACCTGCTCCCGCAGCCTGCTCGGAGCAAATACATCCACCCAGATGACGTGCTGGTCTTGGAAGATGAACTGCAGCGTATGAAACTAAAAGGCACCATTGACGTGTCAAAGTTGGTTACAGGGATCATCCTGGCCGTGTTTGGCTCCGTGAGGGACGACGGGAAGTTTCTGGTGGAAGACCACTGCTTTGCTGACCTCACACCAACAAGCCCGCACCCCTGCTTGACACAGATAGGTTCCTGCTGCTGGTGTCTGGCCTGGGCCTGGGGGGAGGTGGAGGCGAGAGCCTGCTGGGCACCCAGCTGCTGGTGGGCGTGGTGACGGGGCAGCTTAGGGACGAAGGGGAGCAGTTCAGCGCGGCCCATGTCTCCCGAGTTGTCCTTGAAGGCAACCTCCTCAGCCACAGCACCCAGAGCAGAGATTCTATCAATAAGGCCAAGTACCTCACCAAGAAAACCCAGGCAGCCAGCGTGGAGGCCGTGAAGATGCTGGATGAGATCCTCCTGCAGCTGAGCTCCTCAGTGCCCGTGGACGTGATGCCAGGCGAGTTTGATCCCACCAACTACACACTCCCCCAGCAGCCCCTCCACCCCTGCATGTTCCTGCTGGCCACTGCCTAACTCCACACTCCAGCTAGTCATCAAACCTTACCAGGCCACCATTGATGGAGTCAGATTCCTGGAGACATCAGGACAGAACATGAGTGACATTTTCCGATACAGCAGCATGGAGGATCACTTGGAGATCCTGGAGTGGACACTGCGGGTCCGTCACATCAGTCCCACAACCCCTGACACCCTAGGTTGTTACCCCTTCTGCAAAACCGACCCATTCTTCTTCCCGGAGTGCCCGCATGTCTACTTTTGTGGCAGCATCCCCAGCTTTGGCTGTTGGTGACCATCCCTGACTTAAGTGCCATGCAGACCGCCTGCCTCGTGAACCTGCCCAGCCTGGCCTGCCAGCCCATCAGCTTCTCAGGCTTCGGGGCAGAGGACGATGATCTGGGAGGCCTGGGCCTGGGCCTCTGACTCAAAAAGGTGGTTTTGACCAGAGAGGCCCAGATGGAGGCTGTTCATTCCCTGCAGTGTCGGCATTGTAAATAAAGCCTGAGCACTTGCTGATGCGGAAAAAAAAAAAAGAATATCCCATAGTTTTAGCTTTTACCTTACTTGATCTCTCTGGAGTCTAATATTGTTGCTAAATCCTTCACTGAAACACTGTCCTCTCATGGTTTCTAACATGAAACCCTCTTTTTTCTCTTCCTCTCTCTCTATGGCTATTGCTCTCTAGCATCCTTTTAAGCTCAGCATCTCCTACCCTCCTTTTAAGTTCTGAAGCTTCTCCAAATTCTATCCTTGTCTCTCTTTTCTTCTCATCCTACATACACTTATCAAGCAGTGTTATCATCTACCACCAGCTCTCTTCTACCTCTCCAACTTAAATTGATCATAGCACTATTCTGATCTTCAGACTCTTAACTCTAATTTCTCAGATTATATTCATCTGAAAATGCCAAAGGATACTGAATCATCATCTTCCTTTCAAAACTGTATTTGGTCTACATGTTCTGTCTCCCATCCATTGCAAAACCTGAAACCTGGTGTTTATTTATATTTATTCTATAAGTATTTTTCTCCTTTAACCTTATATCAAATCAGTGAATAAAATATTTTATTCTCTCCATCTTCACTGCTTCTGCCAGTCATGGTGTACGTTATTTCTTGCCTGAATTACTACAGTCATCTCATATCTTATGTGTCCCCTTCACATTGTTGGAAGTGATATTGTTATATTAAATGAAAGCAAACCTAACTGCATAAATTTCTCAAGAGTTTCCCATCAAAGACACTATAAAATCCACTATCTCTTAAGTGCATTCAAATTTCCTCATAAATTTATATATTCATACCAAACCAAGCTGGCTTTCACCTACCTTCACCGCATTTTTTATTTTTCCATTATACTTCTGATTCTCTGAACATACATTTTTTTGTTTTTTGAGTTTTGGTTTTGAGACAAGGTCTTGCTCTGTCACCAAGGCAGGAGTGCAATGGTGCAATCATAGCTCACTGCAGACTTGACCTCCTGGGCTCAAGCAATCCTCATACCTCAGCCTCCTGAGTATCTGGGATTACAGGTACACACCACCATGCTCAACTAATTTTTAATTTTTTTTTTGTAGAAATGGGGTCTCATTATGTCACCTAAGCTGGTCTTGAACACTGGTCTCAAGCAATCCCCCTTTCTCAGCCTCCCAAAGCATTGGAATTACAGGCATGAGCCACTGACCCAGCATCCATGCACAATCTTTTTTTAAGACGAAGTCTTGCCTGTCGCCCAGGCTGGAGTGCAGAGACATGACCTCAGCTCACTGCAAGCTCCGCCTCCTAGGTTCAAGCAATTCTCCTGCCTCAGCCTCCCGAGTAGATGGGATTACAGGCAGGCACCGCCACACTCGGCTAATTTTTTGTATTTTTAGTAGAGATGGGGTTTCACCATGTTGGTCAGGCTGATCTTGAACTCCTGATGTCATGATCCGCCCGCCTCAGCCTCCCAAAGTGCTGGGATTACAGGCGTGAGCCCCTGCGCCCGGCCCACAATCTTATTTTATAATCATCTACTTGTGTCTTTCTCCCCAAGCAAGTTCTTGATATCTGGGACTATATCTTCATTTTTGTACCCACAGCATCCACCACATGTAGAAGTTTCTGGCATGCAGAAGATGGTCAATAAATGCCTGTTCAGTGGGTAAGTAATTGAATCAATGCCATTCACTCAGTTTAAGATTCCCCACTCCCACTTGCACATGTAGAAAACACCTTCTCATCCTCAGCGCTCCACTGAAAGTTTACTCTGTGAAGAAATTTCTCTGGTTCCCACAGGCCAAATTCAGGATTCCTTCCCTGTGATCTTTATATACATCTCAGTTGTAGAAGTTACCACATTTTATTGAAATGATTGTGTATTTGACTCTTCGAGTAACCTAATTAATACAGCTGGGCAAAAAAGAAGATAACTTTAGAGCATCTAAGAAAAGAAAAAAAATTCTCTAAACTACCTTCTACTAGTTTACTAGTTCCTAGTGGAGAAAAATTAAATTAATCTCAAATATTCAGAATACACGCACACACGCACACACACACACACACATTCTTGTGTCTTGTGTAGGGTCTATTTTATTCAATTAAGGTTTTCAACTCTCTTTATAATTGTGCAATTTTATAGCCCTTTCAAATATTGTTTCAGCTAGCTATCTGAGCTAGGTGGACACAAATTATGATGGAAATCAAGGTTCTGATGCCCAAGGTGGCAAGAAAAAGAAAAGATAACCCTAAAGAATTGACTGCTCGGTTCTTAATCCTGGCTACATATGTTACAAGTTACACAAGCACAGCTGCTTCTCTATATTTGTTTCCAATGAGCGGCTGTAAAGGGAAATAAAACTACAACAACCTACCTCTCCAACTCCTATTTCGACTTCCATCTCCTTATGGGAAGGGATAGAAAAAGCATTATAGAAAATAAGATTTGGACGTGTTATTATTCACTAGTAGAAAAGACTGTAATTTTATTCCACTATTCCACTTTTTATTTAAAACAACACCTAACATGCTTTCTTTTACTTAGTGATATAAGTGTTTATAAAGTGAACAAATTCAATCATTTAATATGCTAACTGCATATTAGTAATTGTGTGATAAAAAGTACTTTCCTCTATTACCTCATTACTCTTGCTACTAGCACTCTGAAAATATGACCATAACATACAGGTGGCTAACTACAAAGTGCTGAGAGGGACATGTTGAAAACTTCTTACCAAACTAGGAAGAACATGCAATACATATCATATCACATACAGATTGGTGTAGTCATGGCTGCTACTACATTATCCCATCTGCTGTAATGCCTGTCTACCCTAAAGGAGCTTACAATTTAGAATAGAGGCAACTATGTAGGGCTGTAATACAAGATAGAAGGAGAAAGAAATCATAATAGCTCAGCCAGGTGGTCAGAGAAGACTTCATGGCATCACAGTCAGACTATGAGAATGAACAGGCTTTCCTTATGTGGGGAAAGAGGTGGGTGAGAATAAAGTGGGCACTGGGCACTCCAGGAGGAGTCAGTTGCCTAAGCACATGCACAGAGGCTGGATTTCCTAGTCTCTGGCTAAAGGAAAATCCTGGCTCCTTTCTGGTCCTTCGTTCACTGACCACAATATTAAAAAAGAAATCTTAATTTCACTTAGTTACTTGTGCATAGGCCCCAGATGATTAAGAATTGAAAATATGTGTAGTCCCAGCTACTCGGGAGGCTGAGGCGGGAGAATGGCGTGAACCCGGGAGGCGGAGCTTGCACTGAGCCGAGATCGCGCCACCGCACACTCTAGCCTGGGCGACAGAGCGAGACTCCGTCTCAAAAAAAAAAGAATTGAAAATATGGAGAGGAGAGGAGAAGAGAGAAGAGGGGAAGCTTGAGCGAAAAACAGGAAAAGCTACAAAGTGCAGGACCGGAAGCCAAAGCCTCAAGACTTTGTTTCCACTCTGATACTCACCAGTCACGTGTCATGAGGACATTTAGCACTTCTAAGCCTCAGTTTCCTAAACTCTGCAATGAGGCAACTAGATCAGAGGAGTCGCAAAGGTCTCTTCCAACTCTAAACATCCACAACAGACTAATTACCTGGGTTCTCTGCCTCTCCTTGTCTATTATTCATTAGCATCTCCGTGGGAGCAATAAAAGGAAGTGAAATTTAAACCAGCCAATTTTGCTGCTTCGCAGCTCTGGGAAAAGATTTGACAGACCAAGAAGCTGACAGCTATCGGTTGACTGCAATCATCAACACAGTCCCTGCCCACCATTACACAACAGATAGTCCATATTTTACTTTATTTTTCTATTGAACTTTCTTTTTCAATATCTATAAAATTATTTTTATAATCCCCTTTTTATAGGTCCACAAAGTCCTAGAGGCCATAATATAACATTTGAATATTAAATACCAGGTACTATATGACTTGCTAGAATGATCTCAGTCAGTTTCCAATTCACATTCTGCTCACACAAATCAAATGTTGTTACCCATCCAAGCTATTTGGCTGCTAAAATGGACAAGCGGCACTGTTCATAACATGAGGGTCACAAATAATAACCATACTCTCTTAATGTTCAATAATTATACCAACAACCAATATTCATGTCTCATTTATGAGCCAGGCGCTGTGCTAAATTCCTTATATGCTGTCTTAGTCCGTTTTGTGCTGCTATAACTGAATACATGGGACTTGATAATTTTTAAAGAACAGAGATTTACTTCTCACAGCTCTGGAGACTTGGAAGTCCAGGATCAGGGCACCAACATTTTGCAAGGCCCTTCTCACCATATCATCACATAACGGAAGGTGGAAGGGCAAGGAGGGAGCAAGCGGGGGCCAAACTCGCCCTTTATAATGGCATTAATTCCATCTATGAGGGTAAAGCCCTCATGGCCTGATCATCTCTTAAAGGTCCTACCTCTTAGTATTGTTACAATGCCAACTATATTTCAACATGAGTTTTGGAAAGGACAAATATTCAAACCATAGCATATGCTAAGGACTCTTTACTATTATCCCGAAAACACTGGAAAGGAAGCTCCATGTGGACAGGGAGTTCTGTTTGTTTTGTTCCACACTGATTCCCTCAAGATCTAAGAGCAGTGCTCTGCACTATTTATATGCTCAAATTCCAGTGGTTTGTCTCCAGAGCTCACCCTATTTACCACCATACTGTGAGTCATAACTGATACACTAGTGCTCTACCCTCTGTGAAAAGCTGCACTGTGGGGGCAGCTCTAGAATCTGCCTATAGCATTTATCACTGGGGTGACTTTGGCAAGTTATTCACCTGTTGGATGCTTTTGTTTCCTCTCTATAAAGTGGGCATGACGGCAGCACGACCTCATACACTGGTGAGGATTAATATCAATTGCATAACAAACCACAAAAAAAATGATTTAAACAATAACAGTCATTTATTTTTGCTCTCAAATCTGCAATTTGGACAGGGCTCATCAGGGAAAACTCATTTCTGCTCCACACAGTATCAGGAGGGACAGCCCAGTGGAGGGCAGGATGATCCACATGCAAGACAGACAGCTCACTCTCAGGGCACGTAGTTGGTGCCAGTTGCTAGCTGGAAGGGGCTCAGGTTCTTCCCCACATAGCCTGGGCCTCCTTGAGGCATACTGTCTGGGTTCTCATGGAGAGCGTCCACAGGGAGGAAGCCAGGCAGAAGCTGTCTCCCCTCTTTTTTACTTAGCTTTGGAAATCACATAGCATCATTTTTGTCATACTCTATCTCCTTTTGAAACAGTTACAAAAGCCCACCCAGCTTCAAGGGGAAGAGACCTAGACTCTGCCTTTTGTTGGGGGAGTGGCAGTGACATGGTTTAGCTGTGTCCCCACCCAAATGCCATCTTTAATTTTCACGTGTTGTGGGAGGGACCCGGTGGGAAGTAATGGAATCATGGGGGCAAGTCTTTCCCGTGCTGTTCTCATGATAGTGAGTAAGTCTCACGAGATCTGATGGTTTTATAAAAAGGAGTTCCCCTGCACAAGCTCTCGCTCTCTTTGCCTACCACCATCCACGTAAGATGTGACTTGCTGCTCCTTGCCTTCTGCCATAATTGTGAGGCTTCCCCAGCCATGTGGAACTGTAAATTCATTAAACCGCTTTCTTTTGTAAATTGCCCAGTCTCGGATATCTCTTTATTAGCAGTGTTAAAGCGAACTAATACAGGCAGAGTTCTGGAAATCATGCTAAAGGGAAAATCTTGTTGTGCTCATTTGTGGAATATACAAGCTCCCACAGCTTGTGCCCCTGAATCAGGTTTTCCTCAAAGGAAATTTGTACTTAACTAAGGAATGATTGGAATGTCCAGCTACTCTGTGATTAGGTAAAACTGCTGTGTCTAATAACATGGGATAGCCGGGTACTGTTCACTCATCGGCTGCAATAACATGCGAAGGTTGATAATGGGGTTTTCTCATGCCCCTTGGTAGATAGATAGGGAATTCCCAAGCACTGGGCCATGGAGCCTAGAAGGAAACCAATCCATGTATCAAACTGAAAGGGTGGAGACAAGTTAGAGAATGGAAACTGATCAGCAATGGAGAAAGAAAACAAACATTTATTGAGTCGTTGCTTGTAAGAGCTACTTGCTTAGGTTATAAAATCTTCCTTCAACCTGTTCTCATGAGCTTGACTTTTTATTGACCAAAAGCCCATATTTTTAAGTCATGATAAAGCTTGAAAATTTCACAATATAGCATCTCCATATTAAATCCTCACAGCAAATTTATCAGTAACATTACCCTGAAAGTGTCCAACAGACTACCCTAAAGCTGGCTTCCCTTGGGGGAAGTCGGATGGCTTCAGCTATAAGTGAAGTTCAAACTTTTTCAGAGAAAGTGTTTCTAGTCCAGTATTCAAAGTCCTCTTGTTGGGCTGGCTCAGGTCCCATGCTGCCAACACACCTATGGCTATGCCAGAGGAGTATAACATGATGATTGGGCCAAGAAAATGACAGCACACAGTTTGGACATTTCTATCATTTAAGTTTCTCCAGGCAGTTTATAGAGAGGTTAAATATAATGGGCTCTGTGTGGCCTGTCATTTCCTTTTCTTTCACATCAAGAAATGGCCATTTGTTTCTTTCTTTTCTCTTCCAAATCAATTTCTTATCTATAACAAAATATCTCTTCTGATCCAATTCTGTGACATTCTGAAGCATCAGAAGGATGTTTTTATAAAATGTTTCCATTTACAAGTAATTCTATAGCAAAGCCCCTGAGGACCATGATGCAGTGAAGTTTTAGTATAATATTCTCTTGGATGCAATAATCCATCCATTGTAGCCCATATCATGGGATACTTGGTTTAATAAGACTTTTGCTTCAGGGCATTCAATATCCATCCACTGCACTTAAGAAAATCAGGTAAAACAGGTGTTTCCTCAATTAACAATTTAGAGTTTTGTTACACAGAAAATAAGTGAACCAAAATGGAAGCTAATATTCCTAACAAAACATACCAGTACTCTACATTTCCTGTTTTCCCAAAGACCTTGAATGAATCACTTCATGTATACATTTTAAAGTAATTAATTTAATGCATGCTTTGCAAAAAAAAAACACACAAAAATCATTATTTACAGCAACCTTACATTAACCAGTATGTATTTAATCATAAAAGTCTGTCAAGCAATGAAGTGTAATTTTTAACATCTAAGGAATTAACATAATATGATTAACTGAGATTTCCAATTTTATGAAAAATCTTGCTCAAATATTTTAAAATAGTGTCCCTGTTTACAAATATTTTTAATCGTATTGTTTCTTAAGTTAACTCATTGACAGTTTTTTTTAACTTTGGCAGAACCAGAACTTCTCCCATGCCATATAAAAAATGAATCTGTTGGTCATACCCTACTTATAATTCACTGTTGATTGCCCTCAGAAGACTAGAATCTATTCTAACATACGACCCAAGATAATTCTCATAATGAAGTAAAATTAAATTTGATTCCATTCCCAACACTCTACAAAAATTTAAACAAGTCATAAAAACCAGTTCTTCAGGGTTTTTTTTTTCTAAATATTACAACTTAAAAAGAAAATCTGAAATTTGTTTGAAGTCTTAAATAGTTTATCTGAAAACATTTCAAAATATCCTCAAAGAAGTTCTGAGAAAAAAATACAAAACAGAATGAGAGCAATTGGTAGAAAGACACAGCGCCTAGGCATGTTCTCACCCACGCATGGTTTGCTCTGGTCTCCATGTACCCTGCCTGCTCAATCTATGACTTTAGAAAACCAAATTTGAAAAACAAATCAAAATTTTCCAGCTTTCATCATTTATATAAATCTATTAACTTCAAAGAGAGCTTTGTTTATGGTTAGGGTGACTAATTTATCTCCCAAACCAGGACGCTTTTGAGAATAAAAGGCGGTACTCTTAATAATTAAGCCTGCTCATTAGACATAAACTGGGACTGTCCTGGGCAAACTGGGACATAGGTTCACCCTACTTCTGGACAATGATAACTTAGTTAAGAGAAATGAAGTTCAGAATGAGCAGTTGGTCACTGAAAACTTCATAAAATTCTGCATTGAACTGACTTTTTTCCTTTTATTTAAAAAATTCTGAAATCTTATTGGGATAAGATCCCAATTCTTGCAGCTGACTTCTTTAGCATCTTCACTAAGCTACTATGGATTCTCCCCAATTTCTTTCATACTCACCCTGATAAAATAGATGACAAATATAACCAAATGGACACAAACTCTGGACAGACAATATTCACAACCAAAGTATTTCTAAGAGTCCATTCTACTATTATCTTCTAAAAACCTGGGGATTTAAATGTGTCTATCTAAAACAGGGTGCTTGGAATTTTACTGACGTTTCCCTGAGCTAAATTATCTCACCGAGCACTGCTCAAAGCTACCTACTTCTTCTTAGCCCCTGTGGATCCAGAGTTCCCTCATCTGCGAGGCTTATAGTTGGCTGTATACTACGCTGCAGTTCTCTGATGACTGGGTTGTTGTTGTTAAATTACATGAACCGCTCCAAAGGAATCAGATCTTGGGATAGCTCCAAAGGCAGGTTATTTTCCTTTCATTCCCAATTGAGTCAGAAAAATTTATTCATTTACTAGTCAGAAAATAAATTTGATGCATGTTCCTCCGGAGATCCATGTGCTGTACCTTTTTATGGCAAAATGCCACATGTGCATCAGAAACGAATACTTGGTCACGTGGGCCATGGCCACAGCTGCCTGGGCCACAATTCACTCAGAGCTTGTAAGGTAAGCAAGGCTGAATCCTGAAACCACTGCAGAAACAGGCCCCCAGGGATGTCCCGGTGGTGCCTTTCCTTCTGGGGTCCCTGAGGGTACCTTCACACACGCTGGAGGTGCTGGCCTGCTGAGACTGCCTTCCCACACCAACTGTGGGGGTGTCATAGGTGTAGACACATTTTTGTGACAAGTCCCCTGCCTTTGTACCCCCACACCACAATCCCTGAATGCTCTGCCATTGCCATTGCCACTGCCACTGCCACTGCCAGCTTATCCCCACCTTCTCCCAATTTTTCCTAATGGTTTAAAAGTAGACAACACAATCTCCTTTCCCTCAGAGTAAATGCTTATTAAAATCAGGTGTGGACTTACAATGTATATATTTTTTTAAGTTTCAAGGTATTTTTGAATAGTGCATGTCCCCAGAAACATAAATGCTTTGAATCATTGACCGTCCAGGAATTGGTTAAACATTATGAAAGGAAGAAGTTGGCAATTAAAGTATTAGGGGAACTAAGATTTCATTCCTCTTACTGGAAAAAAAAATCACCATTATTTGAAGCTTACCAAAAAAAGAAGTTTTATGGGCATATTTTAGCCTACCATGGTATAATCAAGCATTTTTATGGATCCCATTTATATTAATAAGGCAGTAAAGGAGGAAGCTTCAGATAAAAAAAAACTGAAGTCTCAGAATCCTTAAGAGTCCATGACAAGACAAAAGAGGAACCCCTGTCTCCCGATTTTGCCAGCTAGACTGGACTCATTCTGCTTCCAAATTTTTACTTTTTCTTTGGTCAATGTGGGAACCCTCTGACCAGTCATGAAAAGTAGGACTTGATGGCCCGTCATATGAAAAGCTATTAACATAGCCACAGTTGGCCCTGAAATATGCTTTCAAGAATTTAGAAGATTTGCCAACCCCTATTTGAATTTTTCTTCAGAAAAGTGCACTTTTATTAACACCCTCTTCCCTACTGTGGATGAAAATGGTCACAATATTCTCATGGGGAAAAAAAAGAACATTCTCAAGAGCCTCTGTAGATGGAGAAATAGAGTTTCTGGCCAAGAATAAAAATGGGGAAGTCTAAAATGTTTAGAGCCTCTGATTAAACCTTCAGTGGTATATTTCTCTCAGACAAAGCATTTGTCACAAGTAGCTTGTCTGCTTGAGTATGATTTATGTGGCTGGACTGAAATTGGCTGAATAATTTATGCTATTTATTGTTCTGGAAAGTTTCTTTTCTTAATAAATAAATAAATAATGCTGTGTTAAGAGAAGAGGAAAATAGTGGTAAATGTCAGTCACATGAGGAGGGAAAAAGTTATTTTTCCATGTTGGAAGCTAATAAAGTGTATCTAAGAGGAATGGTCCCCACATAGAAGGGCAGGACTCTAATAGGTGAATATTCTCAGCATTTTGAATGAAACCAATTGGCTAAGAGAAGCTGTCAAATAGGTGTGAAATGAGCTAAAATTACGAGCGATACACTTTCTTTTAAGGTACTTTGCTTTGTTCCTTACAGTGCCTTGCAGCAAAAAAAAATTTTAATTTAAATACTGAAAATGGAATGCAGCTATATTGATTTAAATTCACTAAGCAAGTATTGGAATCTATTTCCTGTTTCCTGCATAAGTGTGGAGTGTGTGTGAGTCTATGTATGTGCTCGCGTTTGAATGCTGTCAGCTTTCCTACTATTTATGAGTGAGTCACAGTTTATTAGAACCTACCACAATGTATATTAGCATAAAACACATAACTTGAATTGTCAGTTTATAAAATTTTCAGAATGTATGATTATAGTTCTGTTCTTACTGTAGATTTTTACATAGCTCCAATGATTTATCCCACCTGCTGAAACACTGGGCTAATATGAAACCTTGCTTGTTTTTTGTTAGGGTTTGTTTTTGTGTGTTGGGTTGGGTTTTAGGGGTTTTTTTTCTCTTTGGTTACCACTTTATCATATAAATTTTATTCCTGAAACCTATGCCAAAGACAGAGTTATAGACAAAAGAATGGATGGATGAGTGTGCAGAAATACATGTGGCTCAATTCAGCTGAAACTGTTTTATAGATAACTCACTGTAAGCTATGACTAAAAATATTTGAAATGTTTACAGGCTGCATAATATATATGTTTGACATATTAAAGGAGACTTCTATCAGCTGCTCAGTAACCATTCCAGAAAAACGCCTTAAAAGAACTCAAGCAAAATCACAGCCCCTCATCTGCAGTGCTGTTTCTAATTTGAAGGCAAATTCATCTCTGACATACAGCAGATTCTGTGCAGGTGGAAGCAAGCCCCTCTCTGCTCCTCTCCCTGCCAGTCAAATTATGTCATCAGTGAAGGATCACTGGTTTTTAATGATACGGTGGCCTCCATACTGAGAAGCAGTCCTAGCAGAGCAGTATGCATAGCCAATAAAATGGCTGTCACCAAATTACAATTGACACTTAACATCACTAAATCTGCAGTGTAATTCCTTGTGACAGTTGTGTAGGTATATTAGAAGAAAATAATTTACTTCAAACCCAGCATGTTAGACACATTTTCCTGAGCGTAATTCATGTCACATTTACAGTAGCCAAAGCAAGCAGTCTCGAGGCAACCTTAATGCAGGAAGAGATCATAGATACTAACATGTTCATTGAAGTATGATTATTTATGCATGCAATAAACAAAGCTAGAGCAGTTGTTCATTGTAGGTTTTAATTGTTATTGGGGGTTTTAATTGTTATTGGGTTTTAAATGAATATTAGCCTCTTTTGCTGTAGGGAATAAGAAAAACTATTAAAAAAAACAAAGCCACATTTTATACGGAAAACAGGCATCAGCTAAAAAGTCCGTTTTTCAGTATTAAATGGACATTCATGTGGCCCTCACTCCTACCACAGCTCCATATTATATTTGGACTTGAAATTCTGTGCCCATTACCACATGACAAATGTATACACATCCATCTTCCAAAACGCAAGTAAACTAAAAACAAGCCAGCAACTGTATTTCTCTTCTCTCAGAGTATTAACATTGGGGAACAAAGGTTTGTGAGGCAGACTCAGTTTCTTCTGGAATGCTATTTTGATACATTCATCTGGAGCAGGTCTGCAGAAAGACCCTTCCCTGGCCTTATAAGCATATATAAATATGTGACAGAGTTAAAGGTCTCCACTCTTCAGAATGAAGTGGTTTGAATGTCTGGCGAAATGGGACTGCAAAAAATTCATTCCAACTTTGTCTCTAGGCAATTCACCTTTGGCCCAGTGATGATATGAGTCTTTCTGCTGATGGAGGAGATATAATAAGTCAGCTCAGGCAGTCTTTAGAAGGCAGGGGCCTATTTGTTAGCAGAATGAGGCAGGTGTACTCTTCTATGGGAGATTAGCTCATCCCAGCACGATAATTACCTCACAGGAAGCCCTCAAGGTTACACATCAAATGCAGGAGCTGCAGATCCAGTCCTGGAAATGGGCATGCCTGTATCGTTAAGTAGTCTTACTTTAGAAACTCCAAATTTAAAAACACAAATCAGTGAGTGATAATTTCCCTGTCCTTTCATCAAGACATTAACACGTCTCCAGCAAGTGCAAGCTCACTGAAGAACAATAGCCTGGATTACAGCTCAGCTTCGAGGTGAGGGAATTAACCTCTGTCTGTCTGTCTTAGTTGATTTTCTTATCAAAGTGAGGAACTGCAAACAAGAAGTAAGAGAACCCACATTTGACTGGCTGAGGTCCTTTAGGATGTCTGTGCTATTTGCTTACTCCTACCTTTTGGAAAATAATTTGGAATGAATTGTGGATTTCCCACAACAGAATCACAGCATTACAGCTTTGTCATCAAAGTGCAAAAGGGGAAAATGGCAGTTGGAGTGACTTGGGTTTTTTATGTTACATTTAAGAACACAGATTGCTATTCCTACACCATCATGACATTGAGGTGGCCGTTCTAACCATGTCCTGGGCTGCTGAATGCTTTAGCCGTGCTAAACAGAGCTGTGTCACTGCCGCAAGCCGTGGGCAAAAGCTAGAACCTCTCCAGTTTTCTAGGTCAGTGAGGATGACCTGTGGAATTCTTCAGCATCACTGGTCCCTGGAGCACACTCCTGACAGTATAAGGCTAAAGAGGTGGCGGTGGTCTGATTGCATGACCACAGCTGCCAGAGTTTAGCATGAGGGGGCACCAGTCATGAGGGTGCACCAAGAAAAATGGCAAAAATAGAAGCAGGAGCATGGGCAGGGGTAACATGATTAGGAGTCAGGGAGGTTCACCAGCTTTTCAGCTAGAGATGTATCAAGCCAGGTTGTTTCAAAGGGTTTCTTAGGCAGAGGCACAAACATATTCGTTAGAAAAGAACATTTGGGGAAGGCCTTCTTAAGAATGCATAATGGCAAACTATTTCACACACAAACATCAGAACTGTAAACACAAATTTTTTTATTATTATTATACTTTAAGTTCTGGGATACATGTGCAGAACATGCAGGTTTGTTACATAGGTATACACGTGCCATGGTGGTGAACACAAATATTAATAGAGCAGTCCTGAAAAAGTTAAAGGGTAAAAGATATTTTTGTTAATAAATTGAGTTTGTATGTGATGTCTTCCCGTAAGAAATATCTATCAATTTTATACTCTGAAATGTCATTAAATTGATTATTCATTGAGGCCAGAAGAAATCTTGGTGCTCTCTCATATTGTGTAAGGTCTGTTCAGTGTCAAGGACAGTGTGACAACCCCTGGAACACTGTGTCTCATGGAGTGAATTTGGGCCATCTGGCACGGTGGAGCCTTCTGAAAACCACCTCCTCTTCTAAGACCCATGTTAGTTTAGGACACCCTGCCAGGACATTTAGGAGTCCCCAAAGACCAGCCCTATCACCATGCCTCGCAAGACCCAGAGCAAGAAAAGAAATCAAATAAATACAACTCCTTCTGTAGGAGAAGCCACGTGCAGAAATTGCACAAAAACTATTCACTCACTGATGATGTCAGAAAGCAGCATGAAAGCCTGGACACACTGATCAGAAAGTAACTTAATTTCTATTTTGAAAACATAAAATAATGTTATTCTTATATGAATTTAATGTAGAAAAATACCTTCATACAGAAGGGCTAGGTTAACAGAGGGCAGATGACATCTAATCTCTTAGTGTCCAGATGCTTCCAAACCAGGTTCTGCAACTCCCATTGTCAAAACAATTCTGATTTGTCACAGAACATCTGGCCTCTTGCCTCTTTATTAGGAACAGCATATTGGAAGATATTATTTCCCAAACTAGCAAATTTAGAATAATTCTATTAAAAAGGACTTTAAATATTTTCTTTTCTAAATACCCTCTATTTTAAAGAATGTCTTTTAGCCACTTTGGGGAAGAAAGTTGAATGTATGCACACATATATACATACACACTCAACAATTGCACATGCTGTCTCTACACACACACACACACACACACACACACACACACAAATACACCCTCCGTCATTTTATTGTTTACTCAACCTATCCTCACCCCTACCCCGACCCTTGGAAAATGTGGTTCTATTTGCAGGCCTTGTTAAGACTCTTCTATCACACTAAATACTCAGTCTCAATTTTAAAAATGAACACGTCTTTCTGAACTTACATGTTGAATATCAAACAAAGGCCATTTTAATGTTTTCAAGGCCAGACCAATATCATGGATAAATCTGAAAGGGATGAAAGTCAAATCATGAACTGTGTATGGCTTTGATAACCAAATAATTTCAGTGATTAAGACAGAGAAATGCGCTCTGGAATCACATTTGCATGATAAGGAAGGAGCACCACTTATTTGGGGGGTTCTCTTCTATTGACATAGATATCAGAAAAAGAAAAGAAAAATGTTCATTATGAAAACAGTTCTTTATTAGCTCCTATATGCTTAAGAATAATTTTTCAAATGAAGATTCTAGGAACATTTTAATTCCACATGAAAATGCTATTCTATATTTTGTAAGGTCTCACTTACATTGTAAGCTAAATTTTAATTTATATCCACTGATAGAGACATGTGACATCAACTGATCTTTAATATCTTATGTTTCCTTTCAAAGAGGGAAATCTAGAAATAATTATTTTCTCTATATATCTGGATATTTTAGCTTTATAAAATGAACATATAAACTGGACAACTTATTCCTTTTGTGTCCAAAGCACTATCAGTAAAGGAGGCAGCCTTTCTGTATTATCCACATTCTCCTTTTTAAATCCCATGTTATATATTATAAAATTTTTGTTCAAACAAGTCACAGAATGAAAAGATCTATATTTGTGGCACTGTTACATTTCATTTTACTGAAAAATACAATATAATACCATAATATGTCAAACTCATTTAGTTTATTTTTAAAAAGAGAGCAAAAATACATTTTTAAAGAAATTTAACATTTATGTTTGATATAAGCATATAAATTCACTTTTTGAATAGTTAAATTTGAATACCCAAACAGAATGTTAAATTTGTCCAAGTCACTCAAATTAGAAGGTTCTAGATTTTGCCAGAAATTAACTTTACATGATTATAAATAAGGATTTTTTAAAGACGTTTACATCATTATTATATAAGCTTTTAAGATTAAAGTTCTAGTTGTCTATTGTTACAGAGCAAACTATCCCCTAAACCTTGTAACTTACCATTTTATTATTTTTTATGATTTTGTAGGTCAGAAATTAGTACAGGTCTCATATTGGGCAATTCTTTTGCTGCCTTTCCACATGGCTAGCTTGGGCTTCCTCATAGCAGGGCAATCTCGGAATCATTATATTTCTTACACAGTAGAACAGGGCTGCAAAAAAGGAAATTCCAAGCGGCAGGAAGTATACCCTTCTAATCTTTCAAGGCCTAGACCCAGAAACTGTCACTGCAGTACTTCCATATGTTCTATTGGTCAAAGCAGTCACAGAGATCACCCAGACTCAAGCCTAGGGGACACAGACCTACCTCTGAACAGGAAAAATGTCAAGGATTTTGTGGCCATCTTCGATCCACTACAACAGAATGTTTCATTTTGGAATCATCTTGTTAATAAATTTTCCTTAAAAGGGCATACATGGCCTGGCATGGTGGCTCACGCCTGTAATCCCAGCACTTTGGGAGGCTGAGGCAGGGGGATCACGAGGTCAGGAGTTCGAGACCAGCCTGACCAACATAGTGAAACCCCATCTCTATCAAAAAAAAAAAAACAAAATACAAAAATTAGCCAGGCATAGTGGCACACGCCTGTAATCCCAGCTACTCGGGAGGCTGAGGCAGGAGAATTGCTTGAACCCAGTAGATGGAGGTTGCAGTGAGCAGAGATTGCGCCATTGCACTCCAGCCTGGGCAACAGAGTGAGACTCTGTCTCAAAAAAAAAAAAAAATGGCATACGCTGTGCCCCATTTCTTTATTGGGAACCACCAGTTTTCAGGACCAATTTTAGTGTTCCCTGTAAAATAGAGAATAACTAACAAGGAAAGTCATAGAAAAGTCTAAATATAGAAACAAATTATATGTCACATGTCACATGGAATATAAGCCTACTATTCCCAACCTAAGAGTAAGTCAAAGAATAAAACGTAAGACTGAATTCAGGGATTGTTGTTGTTGCTGCTGCTGCTGCTGCTGTTTTATTGTTTTAAGCTGGGTTAGGAAGAAATGGTTTAGATGCATAAAAAAGTAAATTAACACATGAAAATTTAAGAGTATAGCTGTCACACTGAAACTTTGGCCTCAAAGAGTTTATGTGTCTTACCAAAACCTCAATTTAATTCTGAAAATGGTTTTGAAGCATAATTTATATGCTCAGACCAACAAGACTGATTCCATAAGCCATACCCAGCAATCAACCTAATTACTGCACAATATTT
The DNA here is from genome assembly GCF_000001405.40 of Homo sapiens. Classification (NCBI taxonomy): domain Eukaryota; kingdom Metazoa; phylum Chordata; class Mammalia; order Primates; family Hominidae; genus Homo; species Homo sapiens. Next base: position 93,285,273 of record NC_000005.10, read on the forward strand.
CAGACAGCCCCCCAAATTAATCAAAGTCAAGTATATCCATACTAAAACAATCCTAAATAATAAAAATACAGTTTTCTCTCCCATAGATAGATATGGACTAGTCAAGTTGGTTGTAGGATAATATCTATAAACTAAATTCCATGTTGCCATTGACTCCCAAAATAAATTAGAAAAGATGAATCATTTTGCACAGACAGAAACTTTTGCTTTTGCCTCTTTACCTTTTCACATTTTATGCCTTCATTCAGGATGCTTTCCATTGCCCTACCATCCCTATTTTCTTGTCTGCTACTCAGCCTTTGAAATCCCAATCCAAGTTTGGGGTAAGGCTTAGGATGTAAATGCTGCAAGAAAAATTGCTCCTACTCCAACAATGAGAAAAAGCTGAGTCATCTACATCTCACCAGAAAACTGAATTGGAAAGACAAACTTCCACCTTTAGAAGTAACTGATTCTAAAAGGTGACAATCCTCTCTGAGGATAAACAGGACACATGAATTGTTTTGCCTTTGGCAGAACATGGGGGAAAGAGGCGGCAAACATAAAAGTGGGTGAGAAGAAAGCTAAAATTTTAACAAATTTTTAAAGGCCTAATGTGGGCTAACATGAAAGCTTGGAATCCTGGGAGCTCTAGATAGAAGAGGAGTCTGCACTTACTTGGAAGCTCTTTTCCATACCAGATACTCCTGAGAAAGCTTTGGAGCAAAGCAGAAAATCTGCAGGAGGTCACCCTTGGTGGAGTAGAGGCCCCAAACCCTCAGCAACTTATTTCATAGAAAGCAAAAGCATTCAGTCTCTAGACGAGGGACAGGAAACCCTGCCCCCTCTCAGGGCCCAGGCAAAGATCCACTGTTTGTCTCTAGGAGAGGTGTCCAAAATGCCCTTGTCCCATGTCCCAGGCAAAAAAAAAAAAAAGAAGAAGAAGAAGAAACTTCTCACTAATGAAAAGGTAGAAACATAGAAACAAAAGTTGTCTGCCCCTAACAAAGAGACAAGAAACTGCCCCCACAAATGCCATGATCAGGTATATTGAACTAAGTAAAGCCCACTAAGGGAAGGGTACCATCCTTTCCACTGGCTCCAGGCAAAAGTACACTACCACTGAAGGAGAAATAGAAGTAAAACCTGTATGTCCCTAAGAGAGAGGCATAAAATCTGCTCTGGCTCAGATTTTTGTGCTCATACAATGGTGAGATCTGCTACCACTGGAGGAGGGGCAGCAAATTCTTTTTCCCAAGACCTCCTCTGATACAAAGCAGAGTGAGAAGCCCCACACTGAGGTACAAGAACACAAGACTTGCCTAAGAATGAGGATGGACCAGTAGAACCAAGAATTTGCTGTTTCTACCACAAATCTCATATTAAATAACAAGAATAGCAGTCTTCCATTAAAGGAGCGGAAAGAATACAATAGGAGACACTCTATGGCACAGGGGGGCGAGGCCTGTTAAAAGCTGCTAGTAGAGCAGGAACAGTAATGAAAACTCTCCAGATTCTGGGTCCCCTATAAACAAGGTAGAAGAAGCTCGATGCTGGAGGAATTGAGACTGTGTTGCACTGCAGACAGCTAACTATAGCAGCAACAAAAATCAAACTTTATTTCTGATTGATTAAACCTCCCATACTAATGTTCTGACTGAAAAAGAGATATGCCCATTTCTAAATATAAATACTGATGACCTCACTGTGTGTTTTCCTGCATACCATATTCAGCATTCAGTTTAAAAATACAAGACATAAAAAAGCAAGGAAAGAAATCCCACTGTCAAGAGGTAAAGTCATTAACAGAACCAGACCTAGAGATGACCCAAATATTGGAACTACTAGATAAGGACTTTATAATAATGTGATTATTATGTTAAAGGATCTAGTAGGAAAAGTAAGCAATATTTACAAATAGATGGGAATCCCAGCAGAGAGACGGAAATTATTTTTTAAACCAACTAGAAATGCTAAGATAACAACATGGCAACAGAAATGAAGACTGCCTTCAACAGTTCTATCAGCAAACTGGACATAGCAGAGGAAATAATCAGTGAACTTGAAGACGGACCAATAGAAATTATCCGAACTAAAACACAAAGAGAAAAAATAGAGTGAAAAACAGAAAAAAACAAAAACAGAAGAAATATCTAAAGAGATAATGGCTAAGAATTATCCAAAGCTAAAAAATTACAACAAATTGTAGATCCAAGAATATTAGAGATCCCCAAGCAGAATGAAAAAAAAAAGAAAGAGAGAAAGAGAAGGAGGGAGGGAGGGAGGGAAGAGGAAAAAAGGAGAGAAAGAAAGGAGTGAGGGAGTGAATACATAGATACATTATAGGTCAAATTGTTGAAAATCAAAGATAAAGTCTTGAGGGTATTTAGAGGAAAAAAATAAATTATATGCTGGGAAACAATATCAACACACTTTTCTTTAGAAACTGTGATCATCAGAAGAAAACAATATGCTATCTTTTAAGTACTAAAAAATTTTTTAAGCCAACCCGGAATTCTATATCCAGGGAAATAACTTCCAAAAATGAAAGAGAAATAAAGCCTCTTTCCTATAAACAAAAAAATGAGAAACTTCATTGCCAGCAAACCTACACTATAATAAAGGTTAAAAGAAGTTTCTCCAATAAAAGTAATATGATACCAGATACAAATTTGGACCTACACAAAGGAATGAAAAGTGCTAAAAAGTAGTAAATATACACACTTTTTAAATTTTATAATTTCTTTCAAAGATAACTGACTGAATAAAGCAAAAATATTAACAACGTATTATGGGATTTACCAATATATGTAAAAGTGAAACATATGACAATGATAGTGCAAAGAATTGAAGAGAGGAAATAGAAGTTATTGTTTAAGTTCTTACACTATTATACAATAGTATAATATTATTTGGATGTAGATTTTGAAAGTTAATGATGCTACTACTTTTCAATAAACTCTTCACGAGATGCTGTTATCATTCTGCAGGATAGTCCCATCTGTCTTATTCCTATGCCTGGACATTTTTGCTTTGACCTTAGAAATTTCCCCAAATCTTGGGTTTCTTTAGTTTCACACTCACTATATAATGTTGGGGAAAATGTTTTTTTAATGTTGATAGACTTTTTATCCTCTGGACCTATTTCAAGTTTCAATGAAAAGATGGCCCGGAAACCAAATATAGCAAAGAAAAAAGTCCAGAGTGGTCCCAGCAACAGAGAATAGGAGAAAATCAAGACAGGTCGGTACCTCCAAAACTTCCTTCTGTGGACTATAAATGTACATCCTGGCAGATTGCTGACGTATTGTGACAGGAGCAGTGTGTTGGTTTGCTAGGGCTGCCATAATGAAGTACCACAGACTAGATGGTTTAAACAACAGAAGTTTATTTTCTTACAGTCCTGGAGGATCGAAGTCTGAGATGAAGGTTTCAGTGCAGTTGGCTTGCAGATGCCTGTCTTTCTGTGTCTTTTCTCTCTGGTTCTGTGTCCTTATCTCCTCTTCTTATAAGGATGCCGGTCAGATTGGATTAGGGCCCACCCCAATGATCTTATGAAACCTTAACTGCCACTTTAAAGACCTTACCTCCAAATACAGAAACAGTCACATTCTGAAAGACTAGGGATTAGAACTTAAACTTAAACACTAAATCTGAGGGAATACAATTCAGTTCATAGCAGGCAGCATACAAAGTTATCGATGTCAGAGGAGGCCAGCAGCCAGGTCCCAACCATGAGAACCCATGTAGTTATGTTCAAATATAAACCTAGGAAGAACTTGAGAGGACCAGAGCAGAAATTCAGTCTACAAGAAGTAGGTATTTAAAGAAAAACAAAACAAAGCAATAAAAATATAATTTTAAGTTATTAGAATGTGTTATATCTTTAGCATAAAATAAATAATTCAAGTGTTTTATTTATATTATTTATATACAATTACTTTAATACAAGTTACTTCAAATTTTTTTCTTTCTTTTTTTTTTTTTTTCAGACAGAGTCTTGCTCTATTGATCTTGGCTCACTGCAACCTCTGTCTCCCAGGTTCAAGAGATTCTTCTGTCTCAGTCTCCCGCGTAGCTGGGATTACAGGCGTGTGCCACCGTGCCCAGCTAATTTTTGTATTTTTAGTAGAGACACGGTTTCGCCATGTTGGCCAGGCTGGTCTTGAACTCCTGACCTCAGTTGATCTGGCCACCTCAACCTCCCAAAGTGCTGGAATTACAGGCATGAGCCACCGTACCCAGCCTCAAATTATTTTCACAAGACCCCATATAGGGCAGATTTCATTAATCCATTTTGAATATGAGGTCCTAAGAAATGAACAAGTTTACTCAAAGTCATAGAGATGACAAAGTCAGGGCATCCTGGGGCTCTTGCCAGGACACCGTCTCCCTGCATTAGAAAGAAAGAAATATAAATATCAAAAGTCTTGCTTTGGTGAAGTTTAATAAACTTAGCTTGCCTTGACTTTTACTTGCATGATTTTGTTCTCTTCTACCTAGCACTAGTTAGCATAAGTCATCCTAATGAAACCAACCCATTGCAAGTGTCCATAACCAACCCCTCATAATTGTGCAGCATTAATCTGTCTATTTACAGATAAGGCAATTTTCTTCAGAAGACAGGCATGTTTCCTCACAGATGACAGAAGACATCACTACCCACGGCATCTCCATACATAGATACATCCTCCCAAAATGTATGCCAGAAGACCCTGCTACCCCAGTTACTAGGAATGACTTTTCCCTAGTCTGTAGCAACAATCATTTTGTGAAGCCTGTTTCTTTACCTATATTTTGCTTGTCAATTTGCTTTGGCTTGATGCCATGGTTTCCTATTAGTTCTGCAATTCTCCTTAGTGCCGCTATGCAATGTATCTTGACATTTTCTGTAGTCACTTTGCTTTCAGTACAAGGCAAATACCACCCTTACAGAATTGCTGTGGGGATTCAATGGAATAATAGACCTGAAGGCACTCCATTTCTTTAAAAGTGTAACACTGACTATCTTAAATAAGGAGGTCACAAAGATGATTAGCGGAGAGCTCACAATTCAGTGGCAGAAATACACATTACATAAACAAGTGTCAATTTCAGCACAATTTAACTAGGCAGAAAATATTCATTCTCATAACAGAAGGAGGATTTGGAAGATAAAAAATGCTCATGAATGGCATGCCTGGTCAGGGGAGAGGCACGAAGATAGCAAAGAAAAATCAGCAGGGTGGTAGCCAGAGCTCAGCGTGTGTTAAGAGGACAGAAGTCTGATTATTTACCCTCTTGAGCATCCTTAGCAATATTATAAATAATTTTTGCATCTTATATCCTAAAGAGTGGTATATTTTTATTTTAGATTAGTGAGTTATTAGTGTTATATATTTCATTTTAATGAATTATTTGACAATTTATTTTATATAAACAATTTTTTTTAGTTTTTCACATTTAACAAGAAATTTATGTTATTTAATGAACTTCAATCTGTGTAGTAAAGAGCATGATTTTCTTGAGTAACACAATTTTAAAGTAACATGTTTTTATATGAGTACAGTTAAATGTGGATAGAAATTAAACTACACTGGAGTATGCTGTTGTAAATGAAAAGTCAACTGGAAAGCTATATTTTCTCTTTTTAACATTAGCTTTTTAAATACAGTACTAAACTAATTTTGGTTCCTGTACAAGAATTTGATCAGATGAATACAACATATGCAACTGTCGAAGAGTATCTTGAGGAAAATTTGCAGAATAATTATCATTTCTATACTCCTCCTCAAACTTGTTGCGTTTCAGTATCCTTATGTTTTGTGTGTTTCTTGTCCTTAAGGAACAGTTCATTATAGGTGTAAATTAAATAATCTATGTTGGAGAGAAACCTTTTTAAACTGGATAATATTTAACCTCTACAGTAGTTAGCAATATGGAGCTGAGATGAATCCCTTGAGTAATGGAGGCCTGAGAACACTCATCTTACTCTACTGAACTGCACATGTTCGTGCCATTAAATTAAATTAAAGATGCCATTACCACCTAGAATACTGGTTCCCAAAGTATGTTCTCTGGACCACTAGCTTCTGATCCCCTATGAACTTGTTAGAAATGCAAATTCTTAGGCCCTACCTCCGGCTCATGGAATCAGGGACTCTGGGGGTGAGGCCAAGAAATTTGTGTTCTAACAAACCTTCAGATGATCAAGAAGCACGCTGACATTTAAGAACACTCACCTAGCACAGGTTGAAATACCACACACCCCTTCAGGAAGCATCCTTTGGGGAAACTCTGCCCTAAAGGGATTAGCAGAATAAACCTCTCTAGGACTTCGAAGTGATGCCTCAGGAAGGCAGGCAGCCCACAGAAGCCCAGGCAAAAGAGACCGTCAGATTCCATTTACATTATTAATATGGCAGAAATACCCTAGGGATGGAAATGCTTTCTTCAAAAAGAAAAGAACAGAAAGAAAAATCTGGGTCAGTCTCACATTTGAGGCATGTTTTTAAAGAGAGTATCAGCATTAGAGGCTGACAGTGAATTGAAACCCTGGGCTAGTCCTCAGCAGCCTCGTGGCTCGCTGTAGGAGGGTAACTGAACAACACTTCATCTGTAAAATGGAGACAATAATCTGTCCTCGTGGGACTGAGGTGAGATGTTATGACATAACATAAGTAAAGGGAAGGCTAGCACAAGAGCATTTGTTTATTTACGTCATAGGGTGGTAGAATTATTAACCAAGGAATCATTTTGGTTTAATTCTTCATTTATCTTTCCCACCCTCATTCCCCTACCATTTCTACCAGGGGCCAGGTTTTGGGCTCTCTTAACTCTAGGTTGGTTTGTGACAGAGCAAAAAGCAAAAGCTGCAGAAGACAATTGCTCTTCATGTCTTTTGTGAAAGTTTGAACTTATTGTGAAGAGACAGAAATGGCTTTGAGAAGAGTAAGAGGGAGAGTTCCCATGCAATGCAAGGAGGTCAAAGCCCAGGGGCTACTGCGAGGAGTAGGATCCCTGCACTGTTCCATGGTAGTGTTTGCAAAAGGTCAAGACCCAGGTTGATGAGGAAAGGAGGGCTTTGTGTGGCTTATAAGACCAGATTGCAAACACAGGGTCTCATAGGCTTGGCAAAGATTCCTGGTACAGAAGTAAGGCAAAAAAAAAAAAAACCCTCCTGATCAGCAGTGAATATCCAGACTGACAGAATGGATGTCTTAAAGGTAATTACCTCAGAGGCCAGTGATGGTCAGAGAGTACACAGTGCATCTGGGGCCTTTGCACAACATAGGAGACAGCAAAAGAGAAAACCCTAAATCTGGGACTATCCTTTTTGTCAGGCTCACAAGATGGCTAGGAGATGGATGGTAGTTATCCCAAAGAAACAAAGAAATACGATATTTCTTCCACATCTGAGTTTGCAGACTGATAATGATACCCTCTACTATGCTTTTTATTAACAGCCATTTTGCCTTGAGAATTACACAGATATTTAATTAATGAAAGCAACAGCCTTTCCATGTACTGAAGAATGAGAAGGTATCAACCCTCCCCTTTTACCTTTATGAAGAGTAAAGTGTAGGCCTAGACTGAAAACCTACCAATAACACATATGGGTTATTTTTAGCAAATGTAAAATAGTGACTTTTAAAACCCCATTAGAATCTACATTTATAAAACAGGAATCTGGGTTTTAAAATACTTCTTACAATTAAAAGTATTTCTATTTTCTTTCTTTTTGTTTTTTGAGACAGGCTCTCATTCTGTCACACAGGCTGGAGTGCAGTGGTGCAATTATGGCTCACTGCAGCCTTGACCTCCCCAAGTTCAGATGATCCTCCCACTTAAGTCTCCCAAGTAGCTGGGACTACAGGCATGCGCCACCACACCTGGCTAATTTTTTTTTTCTTTTGTAGAGACAGGGTTTCACCCTCTTGCCAGGCTGGTCTCAAACTCCTGGGCTCAAGTAATCTGCCCACCTCAGCCTCCCAAAGTGCTGGGATTACAGATGTGAGACATTGCACCCAGCCTCTATTTTCTCTCTTTTTTTTTTTTTTTTTTGAGATGGAGTCTTGCTCTGTCGCCTAGGCTGGAGTGCAGTGGCATGATCTCGACTCACTGTAACCTCCGCTTCCCAGGTTCAAGCAGTTCTCTGCCTCAGCCTCCCGAGTAGCCAGCCTCTATTTGCTTATAAAATTCTTTGCAGACAAAAATGGCTCATTGAGCTAGGTTCTCGTATTAGGCCTTTCTCATGCTGCTATACCCAAGACTGGGTAATTTATAAAGAAAAGAGGTTTAATTGGCTCACAGTTCCACATTGGTGGGGACGCCTTAGGAAACTTACAGTCATGGCGAAAGGCACCTCTTCACAAGGCAGCAGGATAGAGAATGAGTGCTGATTGAAAGGAGAAGCCAAGCCCCTTATAAAACCATCAGATATCATGAGAATTAATGCACTATCATGAGAACAGCATGGGGGGAAACACCACCATGATTCAATTATCTCCACCGGTCCTGCCCTTGACACTTTGGAATTATTACAATTCAAGGTGAGATTTGGGTGGGAACACAGAGCCAAACCGCATCAGTTCTCCTATGAGTATACAATGTGACTGCAAAGGCTAATAAGAAATTAGCAGGCCCTTCTACATGAGAGGCCCAAACTAATTAGGCTGAGGTAAGAAACCTGCTAAACTATAACAACATCAGAAGTAATGGTAACTTCTCTGAGCACCTGAGTGATAAATTGCAGCATCCATATTACTGTGAAATAGAAGCAGGTAGAAATATCCCAACAGAAAAAAAAGGAGAAACAATGTGACATCAGTGGCATGATGACCCATGACCTAAACATGAGAAAGCTCTAGAAAAATAGGCTATTTGAACACATTGGCCATTTTAAGTCCTCTCCTCAGGAAGTGCCAAACTGCTTCTAATCTAAAGTTACAATTCAGGCAACTAGTTTGGTACTGGCAAAATATACTTAAATAAACTGGCCAACTTGATATAATTTGCTGCCATCAAATCCACCTTTTGAAATATGTTGCCTGAGGCAATTCTGTTCTGACACTGCATTTACATGCATTTTGAAATTCTTGGTGGTAACCAGAAGAATGACTATCAATTGAGTCAACTCTCCTTTCCTTTCTTAATTTCTGAGGCAAAGCAAAACACCCTCTGTGTATGAGAGGAACAACCTCTACCCTCCCATAAAAGAGAAATTAATTATCCAACCCCATAAACCTGTGAAGATTTTTCCTCTGAGAGTATGACAGCCCCACCTCCAACCCAACAGGTCAAGGCATAGAGCAGAGTGTGATTACTGTGAGTAATATTTATGGTATCCTAGAGCTTTGCTAGCTATCATTCAAGGGTCGATGAAAGTGGTACAAACAAGGAGAAAAGTACAAAAACATAAAAGATTCAAAAGAAGCACCACAGGTTGTTGGTTGAAAGGATGGGACTCTGGGAGCCAATTGCCTGCGTGGTTTCAAATCTCGGTCCAACCTTCCTACCTGTGCAACCCTCGACATGTTGCTCAGCCCTCTGTGCATTTGTTTTCTTATCAGTAAAAAACCATAATACACTGTCCGCCTCGTAGATAGTGAGAATGAAGTGAATTAATAATTGTAAAGTGCTAGAACAACACCTGCCCTTAGTTAAAAATAATATATATATATATATGCTAAATAAATAAAAGAATAATCTATGAAGGAATAGTAAATATTTATTAGAAACAACACTGGGTAGAGGTGGTTAGGATGTCTTCAGATCTTTATTTTATTTCTTTACAACTGATATATTTAGTTTATAAGAAAACTGGATGAACTATTCAGTAAATGATATCTTATATTTTTATCAGGTCTAATAGTTTATATAAAGCTGTAACATTTTGTCCAAAGAATTTGTGTGGGTGAGATGTCTCTATACAAGACTTAAGTCTTAGATGGCTGTGGTTTGTTCATTTGTTTCTACTGTTGGTATTTTCAAAGTCTGAGATTGAACTAGCTTTCACATGTCTTGTTGGACAACTCTCGGCCAAGTTACCAAAATACAAGTTTTATTCCAGATTTATTTATTGGCTGCAAATTTTTACATAACAATATCCAGGGCTTTTAGAAGGCAAGAGGAACATAAAACACAATACTCACTCTCCAGAAGCCAAATTCAGAAGACATACAAACAGATATAAAGTAGTTGAAAACAATTTTGAAGAATCAAATTTAAATAACACTTATGATATTGTTACATGCCAGTGCTTTCACATTTCTTATCATTTTCTACCTCATTTGTTAACATCCCCATTTTATAGAAAAGGCAAGAAAGACACAGAGAGGTGAAATGACTTGTTCCAGCTCCAGAGTTAATATGTTGTTGAAATCTGTTTTGGAACTGAGTTTATCTGCCTTCAATCCAGGGTTCTTTCCATTCTACCTAAGCTGCCATGATGATCATCAAATCTAAAGACAAGACGCGACGTAGTAGTACAAATGAAAGGGAATCAAAGTGAATGGAAACAAGCAGAAAAATCTCACAGGGAAGAGGCTGGACAGTGGTTAGGATTTGAGGAAGTAAACAGGAAGAGAAAGGACCACAGTAGAAAGCTGAGAATTAGTAAAATCAAGAATGCCAAGACAGGCCAGGCTACACAGCAATAAGACTTGGGTATCCTGGTAAAGATGATTCCAGAATTAAGATGGAGGAAGAAACTCAAGCAGCAGAGTTTAGGCACGATATTGGGAAATTTACAGCCATTGCAGGCTTTTGAGCAGAGGAGTGGGTGTTACAAACATTTGTTTAGCAGCAGAATTAGAGAGGGGAGAGGCAGACAGAGAACTTCTGGAAGACTGCTGCATTAATTCAGGTAAGGGATGACAAGTGTCTGGGGCTGTCTGATTACTGTGGAACAGAAAGGAACAACATCACAGCACTAACTCTAAAGGAAAAATTTTCAGAACATAATAATTTGAAGCATGAAGGGAAGCAATGAGTTAAAAATGCCTTCAGGGCTTTGAATGTGGGAAACTTAGACAATGGCAATACTGCTGATAATTGTAAGTGCTGAGCCAGGAAGGAAGATGGGCATCCAGATCTGGGACAGAAACCAGCAAAACCTTTGAGTTGGAAGGAAATAAACACCCCAGTGGAGGTGCCAAACGGAGAAACAGAATGAGTTTAATTCTAAGTTTATTGAGCTCCATGTGACACTAGGACATACAAGTAACAATGTGCTGCAGAGAGTTGTACAAAATGATTCAACCTTTGGGCAGGAATGAAAATAGAAAGATGAGAGTCACCAACTTAGAGAAAAGGGTAGAAAGTGAGTCATTTGACTAAGTAGCTTAAATGGCCACTGAGATGTTCTACCTGTCCACAAGTCGACAAGAGGAGTTTCATTTTGTTCATCTCTTGTTCTGTTTTAGTTAACATAACAAAATGTTCAGTATCTGACTTCTGAGGAGCAGGCAGGCTATGAGGAGCATTCTCATTATCTATGCTCTTGCTTTCCATTTTTGAATAGGAGTAGCCACTATTTCTCTGCTGAAACCCCTGAAAAAGGAACACATGAGAGAATTAAAATGTGTTAAGTGATTTGAAATGCTAAAAATGGCACTTCAGCATTGGCTGTATGAGAATTTTAATATTCCTGCCAGCTGAGATACAGGCAATTTTATATTTAATTACTAAAATAAATGTAATTTAAGAATTTTGTTACACACCTAAAGTCAGAAAATAAAGTGCTCTCTTAAGTATAATAAAATGCCTTGATCTAAGTTGGACAGATTATAGCACTACATTCAGCATTGGAAGGGAGCATCAAAGTGATCTAGCCCAATCTCTTGGAGTTGGAACCCCTTGGACATACCAGGAGGTGTCCACTAAGTCACTGCTGGATGGCAGCTGGGCTGCACAATTACTTGTACATAAATTTGTCAACTGTCCTCAAACATCACCCAAGAACCTTATTCTTATTCAGTCTGCAAAGTGACCTGATTTGGTATCTTAGATTGTCATGGACAGCAGCTGCGTCCAATTCTAACATTAACCTAACTTAGGACAAAAACAGAAATCTTGGAAAGTTCTATTGCATTGGGAAAGCTTACTATAGAAAACACAAATCTGGTCTCCCAAGTCCACAAGAGAATCATCAGAGGTAGTTAGAGCAACTGAACTACAGGGAATTACGTTCTTTCTTCCCTAACATCTGGTATGGATTTATAATGATGCAAAAAAAAAGAAGGGAATCATTTAAATTAGGCATGTGGATTTGTGCCTTGACCTTGTTAAGTGAAAAGTAGGTGTTACCACTATGAATTTCTATGAAACTGGTAGTAAATGTGTAAAAGTCAAGACCCCCTACAGAATATGAAGAAGCCATGAGTTGAAAGGGTGGAAACACAAAATGCTAGTACATTTCTACTAGGAATATCTAGATAAAACTTAAATGATTTATTACAGGGTTGAGTTAGGGCCTTCATTTTTTTTTCTTTTTAATACAGCAAAAACATAGAAAAAGGTAAAAAAAAAAATGAGGGTACAATTAAGAGAAAGTACAATTAAAAGAGAGCATCATTGTCAAATATTCAATACCCAAATCCACTAGCTATAGATTTCCAAGACTAGACCTTATAAAATATGAATGTAGCATAAAGGAGATGAGATGTTAAGAATAAATGCTTTTCTTAAGAAGAGTTTGCCATGACATTTAAGAAATTCTGTGATTACTTTTTTATCCAAGAAAAGATTATTTTATTTCACTCAAGCTTTAAAAATTCAAATTAAACTGCTAGGCTTTTTAAATGGAGTTTATTGTCATATTCTTTAGCTCCATAATTTAATATTTTCCCCCATTCCCACTTTTGGTCAATCCAGCCTTCATTTCCACGTTGGATCAGGACACTGTGCAATAGAGCGGGTGCTCAGAATGTTTGGTCTTTGACCTCCACTTCCAGAGAGTTTTATGTAGAAAGCCCATGATTATTGTCTTTGCCTTCTGCAACCTCTTTTTTAACCTTGAAGTTTAAAGGTTCACAGCCAGTGTCTGGCTCTTATTATAGGTTTTAAGATGAAGTCTATACAGTGAAAAGAACTCTGTTTTTATTTTTTCAGAATTATTGGCTTTCAAGCCTTTGGATTCCCTGCAGATAATTACTGTTTTGGCCTGTGATTTCTCTGATATTTAATGCCTTTGAGAGGAATAAATTACCTATATAACAAGAAGGGTTAATTGGTAGTTGTGAGCCAATGGATGTGCCCCTTGCATCTTTTCTTTGTTTTTTGTTTTTGTTTTTGTTTTGAGATGGAGTCTCACTCTGTCGTCCAGGCTGGAGTACAGTGGCACAATCTCGGCTCACTGCAAGCTGTGCCTCCTGGGTTCACGCCATTCTCCTGCCTCAGCCTCACGAGTAGCTGGGACTACAGGCGCCCGCCACCACGTCCGGGTAATTTTTTGTATTTTTAGTAGAGACGGGATTTCACCCTGTTAGCCAGGATGGTCTCGATCTCCTGACCTCGTGATCAGCCTGCCTCGGCCTCCCAAAGTGCTGGGATTACAGGCGTGAGCCACCGCGTCCGACCTGCATTGTTTTTTTTAAGTGTCCTGCAAGCTCTGACTACCTGAAGCATCCTATTGGTTTTAACCATCTCCTACAACACAACTTGTGATCTGGATTCTTTACTAGTGGAAACTAAAAGAAATAGAGAAGAATTTTGGTAGTTGATGTTGAGGTTTCCTCTGTTTTTGTGACATTTGTACTCCTTCAAGGTGACCACATTTCTTCCTAATATTCTGAATAATAGTTCTATAAACCTGATATCTATGCCCAGATCTAGTTTCATAACACTGGAATTCAAACTTAGAGCTGAAATTTCCATGAAGTTAATTCTATCAGCATTCAGCCTCCCTTAGCTGTTTCAGGAATTCATCTTCGAGAAACTGTGCTTTTTTGTGTGTATTTGTCTTATTAAATCCGTGAAACTAAAAATGCTTGAACAAAGTAAAACATTAACACCAACTTTCACAGTAAATTATTTTGTGTGAATGAAAGCTTTTTAAGAGTGTAAGTCTTGGCATAATTACCCAAAAGTAGTTTAGTAAATGCCATGAAACATTACATCTGCATATCAAAAATGCATTCTGTATGCTACAGGAAAATTGTAGTACGGAGGCAATTTTCTAATATTTACATATTTATAGCAAGTGCCTGTCACAGGAAAGTTAAGCTCACCTGTAAAACTTTCATGTTACGTAACATGAAGAACGTCTCATGCTTGGGTGTTCTAATAACCATGATATTATTTTAACAATTACACTATTTAATACCTTGGATTAGTTCCTCTGATAGTGCTATTAGCTGTCACTATACTCAATAATAGGTGACTTCATCTTTGTTATGACATGATCTTTCCTACTGTTTGTTGACCTTTCAATACAAGGGGGAGGGGACGCTCCCAGCCCCCCAAACCTTTAAGCAGCTACTGTAAAGCTGCGGTTTAATTCTCAGCTGGAATGTTTAGAAACCCTTGGTGCTAAATACCTCAGTGGACTGCTTAAACACCAACAACAGCCTTATGGGGCCTTACCCGACCTTAAACACATCTTTTTTTGTTGAGAATATTGCATTCTGCCACAATTCTGTGGGCTAACCCTGGGCTCACATTAAATATACCAGCTTCATTGAAGCTTACTGAATTGAGTTGAGTTGTTCTTTGTTTTATTCTCTCTCTGCTTCACCCCCCACTGGGACTGGGCAGCCTTTCTTCCAGTGGAGCGTGCTTTAAAGTAACCCAAAGAAGAGGAGGGGGAACGGGGGAGAAAAACCAAAAGGTGCAGCTAAGGCCCGTAATTAGTCTTGATCCTCCAAGTCTAAAATATTTTAACGCCAGGTTTCTGATTGCAGTATGGGCAAAGTGGATTTGGGAATGCAGAAAAGTAATTAGGTCTGTGCATTGAAGTGTGGAGAGCATTTAAAAGTGAATGGGTGGTTACTACATTCTTGGCAGGCTGTTTTTTATCTTTTCATGCTCTGCTGTTGTTAGAGGTGATGGGTTTATTGCAGTTTTTGCACTCTGGAGGTGGCTATGTTTTTCTTAACCTAGCCTTTTGCTCTCCATCTCAAAAATGAATCCTCGTGGTGTAAGGAAGAACAAGCGAAATTTTTAAAAAATAAAAACAAGGCACATTGACCGAATATTATGCGGTGAAGCAGAATAAGTTGGGAATAAACCTCAATGCCGCAACAGGTCACTTATAAAGATTCTGGGTTTAATTAATGACTCACTGAGCACAGGACTAACGGGAGACAATGGTCACCCCAAGGAGAAGGAAAACAAAACATGGTATTCTCTAACCATGTTCACAGAGCCATCCAAACTATCTGGGGGGAAAGCTGACATCATTATGTCACTTCTGGGTCCTGGTATAGAAGATACAAACTATAAATGTCCGAGTTGTCAAAAATGCATGCTTTTGATTGCTTCAGTCTATAGAATTGCTGCAATTTGCTAAGATCACGTCTCTTCAGCCCAGACATTCATGTCTGCCAGTCAAGTCATCATCAGTCCTGGCTTGAAAGTCAGAGAAAATATATGTGCAAAAAATAATAATAATAATAATAATCTGGAGAGAAAAAAAAAGCTGAGGTAAGAATGGGTAAAATTTAAATAGGCTTCTTTTAATGTTCACAAAAGTGTTTCAGCTTAAAATAAATGATACAAAAAAAAGTGTGTTTCTTTAGCAATACAGACCTATACAAGAAAAAATTGCATGAGGTAACTTGATCTTTCTAAAAACATTTAGTGAGATCTACAGAATTTTTAAAGGTAGAATCAGATCTTACTAATGGAAAATCAAATGAAGGAAACAAAATGTGGAGTTTTGGGAGGTTTTGTGCTGGTAGTTATTGTTTGGGAGTTGGGGGTTTTCTGTTTGTTTAGTTTGGTTTTTAGTTTGGAAATGTGCCTTGAGAAGGCCACTTCAAAGATGACTGAACTGAAACATTTATGTCCTGACAACTACTTCAGCACACTTCAAATGTATACAAATAAGTTACCTACTTTTTAACACTTGTTAAGGGTTGTATTCAGTATCTTAATTAAATACTAGTCTACCATTATCTAGTCTGCTATATGAGAAATATATTTCCTTAGCCACATATGGCTCTTAGCTTATTGAGTTTGTCTGCATTTCTAGTCAATGAGAATGAGCACTTTACTGTTTGACATATTATCACCTTAGCCCTGGCTAGACTCAAAGCCATTTCTTCATCTCAAGTTTTCCTGTTAAAAGATTAATACAGCATTAATATTGCTGACAACCTTATGTTTCAGGTCTTCCAGAAGATACAGATAAAATATATGATCTGATGCTGTTATAAGTAAGATTTACATCTTCATCATAGCTTGTCTATAACCTGGAAAACTTGGAAACAACATAAATATCTAGCAATGAGGAACTGGTTAAACAAATGATGACACGATTATGCAATGAAGTGCTATGCAGTCATCAGGAATGATACTGGGGAAGACTAATAACGAGAGAAGATATTCAAAATATATTAAATGTAAGTTTATAAAGCAGGTTATAAGGCAATATGCATAGTATAATCCTATGTGTATATAAAATAGGTAATAAATTATATAATTTATTTAAATATATAATTATTGTCAAAAAGAAAAAAGTCAGCTCCCCCACCTTTTTGTTAACAGAGCCTGATGCAAAGTGAGGCATATTTTTTAAAAAAGAGAAAAATATGCCAAAATGTTAATAAAGGTTACCCCTGAGTTGTGAAATTCAGGGTGATTGTATTTTATTGTCTCTACTTATATTTCCTAAAGTTTATTGAATTAGCTTATAATAGGACAAGATCATTTTATAATCTAAAAAATGATTAATAAAAGTCAATTAAAAAGAAATAACTTATCAAACTATGATATTTAATTATCCCTGCATATTTTTAAAAATACCCTTTATGATGTATCCTCCTGAGTTCAAGAGGCAAAACAAAAACAAACAACAAAAAACAGGTTTCTCTCCTCACCTAGATCCTATATTTGTTGTTGTACCTGAATATAAGCTTCATTACCCACAGTATTTCTCAAAGATCCCTCTCTGGTTGCCTAAAAGGTAGAAAAGGATTCCACAGTTGAACTGTATTTTACATTTGGAAAGACCCAGCAAGAAAACGACCCCTCTGCTTTTCTGTCTGGAGGCATAGCCAGCTCATGGGCTTCACTTCGCTCTGACTAGATTCTACCCAGAATGCTCAATTCCAGTCCTGCGCCAAGTACAAGGTGCCCGTGCTCCCTGACCCTCCCTGAACCTAGAAAGCCAGGTCCACATTAGGACTCAGCCCCTTATGTTGAGGCCACCTTCCTTCTTGGATGCCTGATGTATTCCTCATTATGCAAATGGAAAATAAGCACCAGCATATCCAGGTCAGACACATAATGTGTATAAATAATTGCTGGGGGAAATACGTAGCTCAGTGAACTCATCTAAAGCCAAAAGCTTAAGAAATTTGTGTCCAGCACAGACACCCACTTGCTGGGAGCCCATGGGCAAGTCACTTAAACTCTCTGTGTTTCATCTTAAAATAGAGACGATAAGAATGTTGGCCTAGACCCCAGGGAATAGCAAAAGATTGTGAAGCACTTCAAAAATTCTGTATCAAAGTAATAGGTGCTATTTAGGGAAAAGGTCATGAAATCATCAAAAACATCCTGAAACCTCAGGGAAAAAAAACCCACTGTGATTTCACAAACTGTGATCTAAAAGGCATAACTAAATTCGCAGAAGCCCAAATTTACAGACATACCTAAAGCACTTGCCACAGTTCATTTCAGACGACTTTTTCTGCAGAAGTCTCATTATTCTCCTTAAGCAAAACATACCCATCAGATGTTTGTGAGAATTCTCTGGCTTCACGTGGTTTAGACAAAAATCCTGCCTTAAGATGAGTTGCTGAGAAAGTTCTCGAAAGCATCGCTTATTGCAAACCAAATTGTATTCAGCAGGTAGAAATTAGCACGTGGGCTAGATACAGCCTAGGATCACAAAAACACACATGGAAGCCACAAGACTGCTGCTCTATAATTATGTGGCTTTTCTGCAATAGTCACTGTAAGCTTCTGTGGCTTCCATTAGGGACATAATGAAGAGTAATTGACGGCGGGGATGTTTCTGGTCTCAATCCCATCCCCTTCTCCACCCTCCACCCTCTGAGTATTCCTTCCTTCGGGGCACAACATCCTCTTACAATCTTTGATCTGAGACAAGGCAGTGCCCCAGTTGCAGTTTGTTGTGGTATTTTCCAGACAGTTTACCACATTTTTTTATGTGGTCAAAGAAATAGAGCTGGTAATTGACTGGCTATCTCCCATGGTCTAGGTCACAGCCTTCAGCCACCGTCTTGTGATCCAGTCTGTGCCCACATACAGGAGATAAGTAGAGAAAATTCCAAAGACGCCAAAGCAGGAAATGGAGCTGTCTTATGCTTCCTGAAATTTCTAACCTTAAAACAACTCAAAACAAAATAAAAGAATGTCCCCTTCCTATATTTCTGATACTCTGTTGTATCATTTAAAACTCATGTCCATCTGGTATAACGTTTCAAAAACTGGGCTTTGGAATTAGACAAAACCCATCTTCACTTCTTACCTAAGTGGCCTAGAAGTAATTTAACATTTCCTTACCTCAGTCTCCTCATCCATAAAATGGGGATAATAATGCTACTACCTAGTGTTGTACAGGGTTTAGAATAATACATACAAGTACTTAGCAGATTGCCCAGCATATAATAATTGTTTGACTAATGGTAACTATTGTTCTAATTATTGTTATATCAGTTGCTGTTTTCCCTATTTGGTAACAGAGAATACGGACACTCAGGAAGATTAAGTGGTTGGAAAGCCAGGATTCAAATCCAAAAACTGCCTCCAAAATCTATGTTGTTTGCACTCCCCGTTATTTTCTCCATGTTTGGGAAATAGATCAGAAGGACAAGCTCAAAATTCTACTTAGGTACTCTAACCATGCACATGAAATGTTCTTAAAACATGAGTCCAGACAAATATAAATACACTCTTTTATCCTAAGCAGCATTATTATGGCATCTCTTGTGGTGAGTACTATGCTTGTTTCAAACCCACAGTAACCATGCTTGCTAGGGTACTCACAAATGAATTTCTCAGCACCAAGGGCAAAAGAGAGAGCAAAAGTGATCATTTCTTTTGCCCTTTTTTCTTTCTTTCTTTGAGTGGAAAATCCATGACCTCTGTGACCCTCAACCCAAAACCATCGCCCAAGGCTTGGTATAGTTAGGGGTTGAGGGGTATGGGAAGGGCTGATAATGTTAGAGAAAGACAAACTCCGAGCAGAAACAAAGGCCAGTAAACAGAGTGAAAGAAGCTTAGTAAGGGGGAAAGAAGGGGGGCCTAGAAGCAGAGAACAAGGCACAGAAACAGGACTTGGAGAAAGATTGAATAAATTGTTTGCTTGTGCTGTTTAGCAAAATCAGCTAAACTTGGCTTTCAAAAAGTTTCACACAAAATCATTTTCACTGATTATTTTTTGGCACAAGAAATTTTGTAAAATTTGGAAATTCACAAAGTGACACAATTTGCTAAAAATGCCATTCAACACAATTTGATGTAAACTACAGAAATGTTATTATAATTCATTAGGAAAACTTTAAAATGTGATAGTGTCCTGAAAACTTGGATCGGTGCCACAAGAATCACTGGCAGCTAAAAACTAGCATAAGAACTGAAATGCTCAGTCTATCTATTCACAGGCAAATGTCATGTGTCTTTTATGTGGTTAGCTTCACTTTAATACCCTGGTGATATTTTGAAGCCATTTTTAGTCTTTCATTTTGTTTTTTTCCCATGAGTCAAATCCTATAGCCCTTACACATGATCCTGTATAAAATCCACATGATCTATTTACCAACAAGGAGGCCATACTGACTGCCTCAACTGAGTCCTGAAGATCTGAATATAGATTCTACTGCCTCATGGTTAAAACTGGCTTATTCCTTGGTTTCTGTCTTCTTAATAAAGATAAAAGGGGCTAGTTTCCTAACAGAGTCCAGTGCTCCTAATATAATTCTGGGAGGTACGTATTATGAAATGGAAAAAAAAAATCCTGAATGAACATCAGACAAGCTAGAAGGCTATTGCCTCTTTGAGGGAAAGGGTTTTGTCTTGACCATCTAAGCAAAGACCGTAGCAGATAGTAGATGCTCAGTAATTTACAGGAAAGAAGGAAGGAAGGAGAAAAAGAGGGAGGAAGGAAGAATGGAAAGGAGGAATAGAGAAAGATTCGGTTCAAGTACTAATACGCAGCAGAGTGAACTTGGGCAAGTTGCTAACTTTCCTAAACCTGTTTCCTTGAGAATATAACACCTACCAGCAGTATTATTTATGTCAGGGCTTTAGAGTTGATCAGACATTTACACATACACTGTCTTCATCATCATATCATTTGTTGTTTTTATTTGTATTTCTAGCATTATTTTATATGTCCTATATAATAATGAAAAACAATTTACATTTCCTCAAGATAAATTGCCCGTGCTTTATAACTGCATGTCCTCAGTCTTTCCACTCTCAACCTCCAGGTCTCCTGCCAAGTGGGCTCTTTGAAGTCCTATTTTCTAGAATCCCTTCTTCCTGACCTAGTGAAAATGTATCAATTTAATGTACCCATTCTTCAGTCACCTGCTTTATGCTTGATAATCTGATAAATTCATTCCAAGGTGACTGAAATTGAGTATTAATTCTTGGCATTCATTCCCACCCTCTGAATTACAGGCACTGGAAAGAATAAAACTACATTTCCCAGGCTCCCTTGCAGCTGTTCTGTGAGTATTCTGGATGCAGCCAAAGAGATGCACTTGTGACAAATCTGAAACACAAGGGAAGCTATCTTCAAGTGGCAGCCGCACTTGCCAAACAAGCTCTGACAGTCACCTGTGCTGGCAGCTCTGGACTCCACATCCTCCTCACTGCTCACCAGTGTCCTCAGGGAGAGGCCGCCAGGAAGTAGAAGCCGTGGGGGTAGTGGCCAGCACTTTTCTAACCACTCAATTGCTGCAGCAAAGGAACAACAAGAAACCGGAAATCAGATGTCAGCAACCTGACTTCCATTCCTCCGATCTCTCCCCATGGTTTTGTAAATTCATAATCCCCTGTATTAAACTCTTTCTGCTTGAAGCTCCCAGAGCAATTTCTCTTTTCTGCACTGAACTTTGATTGATAGAGTGACTTAGTGATCACTATAGGTTACAGTCACTCATCCCATCCCTTCTTCCTTATCACTGCCTTCATAATTATACAATTCTCTTGTGTTATCCTCCAAGGACTGAGTCCAGGACCCTGCGGATACCAAGATCTGCAGATGCTCAAGTCCCTTACATAAAATGGCATAGTATTTGCATACAACCTGTGCCCATCCTCCCATATACTTTAATAATTTCTAGTTACTTATAATACCTAATACAATGTCAATGTTATATAAATAGTTGTTACACTGTACTGTTTAGGCAATGACCATAAGACAAAAAAAAACACCTGTACATGTTCAGTACAGGTGCAACCATCCTTTTTTGTTTTCCAAATGTTTTTGATCCTCAGTCATTTGAATCTACAGATTCAGAATGCAAAGATATGGAGAGCTGACTATATACACGTTTCATCTGCTTTATTTTAATTATTTACTCACATGTTAATTTTTATGTTTTCTACCCTATTGTATTTCTTTACACATCTAACTTCTCCATCCTTGTCACCAAACTATAAACTTTTAGAGTAAACCTACTATGTCTCAGTCATTTTCCCATCCCTAGTGCCAGTGTCAATGTATAGTGCTTAGAAGGCAACTCAGTAAACACTTTGAACCACTTTTGGATAATATGTTTGCCTTCCTCCTTTTTCTATGGGGAAGGTTGGCCCTGTATGTGGATGCATGCATTGTCCGCATGGTGTTATTTATGCTTCAAGAAAAAAAGAGGGCCTGTGTGTGTATATATATATATATATATATATATATATATATATATATATATATACACACACACACACACACACACATATACATACACATGCATACACTATCTAACTGTGTGTACCTATCTATCTTTCTATCCTCATCCATAGCTGTGTATGCAGGCAAAAATAACATGGAACACTAATGCAATTACCCATATTGGTCTCTAAAACAACTCTTTTAAGTTAAGAGACAGCAACAAACTAGGAAAAACTATTTGCAATTTACAATACAGTCTAATATATAAGGAGAAAATAGAATTCAAAGAGGGAAAAAAACCCTATTAGAAAGTGAGTAATAGTTCACAGAAAAAGAAATACAAATGACTCATAAATATATGAAAAGATGTTCAAATCACTCCTACATAGAAAAAAATGCAAATTAAAATTACATCCAGATACCATATTTCACTATCAGATTGGTAAAAATCCAAAAATTTGACAGCCCTTAGGGTTGGCAAGATAGAGAGAAATGGGAACAGTGATTCATTGCTGGTGGGAGTGTAAATAGGTATAATCATCCTGGAAGGCAATTTGGCAATATTTATTGAAATTACAAATGCATATACTCTTTGACTCAGCAGTTCCAATTCTAGGAGTTTCTTCTACAGATATATTCACACATGGGCAAAATCATGAATGTGCAAGGTTATTTACTGCTGCAGTTCTTACAATAGCAAAAGATGGGAACAATCTAAAAGTTCATCAATAAAAAACTTTAAATAAATTATGGCACACCCAAATAATGGGATACTATTCAACCACAATAAAAAAAGAAACTCAAAGAATGAGGAAGTTCTATGCTACTGATAAGTAAACATGTGTAATATACATTGTTAAATGGCGGGGGAAAGATGTATTGTATGCTACATTTGTTTAAAAAGTGGGGAAAGGAATGTGTGTAGCATTTGCTTACATAAACATTTTTTAAATCTCTGGAAATCTGCACAAGAAACTAATAACATGGAAATACAACTACTATTAAGAAAAAGGTGGGTATTTAAGTCTTATTTATTTGAATTGCTTAATTCCTCTGAAGGCACAGCTTTTTACCCTCACTGGGATTTTTTTGGCCAGGGAGAGAGTCTGCGAAGTTTCCAAGTAAAGTGATTATTGCTTATCGAGCACTATTTTTTAAATTTATTGAAAACACATTGACAGTAGGCCAAACTAGGGGGAAAATACCAAAAATCTCTTCCTACTTAGAAACATTCCCATATTAATTTATATTTATTTCATTTAATAACCTGCTTTTTCAAAATGCAATTACAGGGTACGTTTCATACAATGAATATCTGGGAACTCAGCATTCACTATCTAATTTAACAGTCTCCTCAAAATAATGTATATTTGCTGAGGAATGGGTATTTTCTACTGGAGGATAGAGAAGAGAGAGGGAAAGTATCCCAGCTTGTAGGAGGGGAAAAACAAGAAAGTAGCAGTAAGCAGGTAGACCAACAGCCAGAGCAGGGGTGGTGTGAGGAGGGTGGACTTGGAGAGAGGAAGGAGTAAAGAAAGGAAGGTGAGAGGATGACTAATCAAAGGCCTGCTGCATGTTTTGCCTAGAACCTTGCTGGTGGCAACCACCTTGGTTCCACACTCTTTGCTCCTGCTGTCGTGAATACACCTATCCTGGTTTGCAAATGTCCAAGATTACTAAAGAATCTTTGTTTTGTTGATCCAACAGGGAGTAACTCTTATTAAGCCTCATGAGTTTCTAATGAACACATACTGTATTTCATAGTAAGACCTAGTGCTTAAGAATTGTTTTATGTTTTTTTAAATCTCCACAGTACAATAGATAGCTATTTAAAGAGTAGAGGTTTAGGTGAGATTTTACATTGTTAAAAAATGTATTTTGCATTAGGTTTGTTATCACATAGAATGCATGTGTACATAAATACCATTTCTGAACCAGCTGGTTGACTTGAAAGCCCGGTTTCAAATTTTCAAAACTCCCATTAATATTAATTGCCTACGTTGTGGCATCTGCTAAATAAAACCAATGAGAGTAAATAAAATAAGGAAAATCAATGGTACTACTATCATCATATGAATATTATGCCTGTCCATAGTATTCTGAAAAAGCCATTGTGCCTACATTATCCCAACCAATAGTCATTAGGAATTAAACCATTATAGTCATGGGCTGTATAGCCATGTTTTGGTCGACAGACTGCATATATGATGACAGTCCCATAAGATAAAAATACTGTATATCTACTGTACTTTTTCTACATGTGGGTGTGTTTAGAGACACAAATACTTACCAGTGTATTACGATTGCTTACAGTATTCAGAAAAGTCAGATGCCATATACAGGTGTGTAGTCTAGGATCAATAGGCTGCATTATATATAGTCTAGATGTATAGTAGGCTATACCATCTATGTTTGTCTAAATAACACTCTGATGTTCGCGCAATTATGAAATCACCTAAAAATGCATTTCTCAAAATGTATCCCTGTTAAGTGACATGTGACTGTATTTAAGTGCTTTAAGAATAAACTGTCAGCTGTGAAGAATAGCACATGTTCCTTTATATTACTCCAGCAAGTGGGTATTTAGCCCAGGTAGTAAAATACATATATGCTGCAGAGTTGAGGTTTCACTTGTGATGGTCACCAAAATTCTTCATGTCTGCTTCAGTACAGATTTTTTCATAACTTTTAAGTGTTTAATACTATAGAAACTTTACAGTGCATATGCTATGCATATAGAAATACTTTTCCTGCATGTTAAGATGACATGATGTGGTCATGTTGGAAATCTATTTACATTCATTCCTTCCAGGTTCCCATAGTATTGTTGTTAAAGAAATATATATGGTACCCCATTCAGAGGCTGGCTGATTGGCTTCCTGGCTGAGAAACAGGAGGTGTCATATGTATATATGTATGTGTGTATATATATATGACATGCCATATATATAAATATATATATTTCTACAGCCATATATATATGGTGTGTGTGTGGGTATATATACATATGGCATGCCATATATAAATATATATGTGCCATATATATATATATATATATATATATATGGCTGTAGAAATGGGGAAAAAGAAATATATACATATACGTATATCACTGTGATTACTATTTTCACTATATATATAGTTCTTTTTCCCCCATTCTACTGCCATATATATATGGCATCTATATGAAGGAAAAAGAACAAAAAATGAGAAATGGGTATCCCTCAAGGGGAGGGGGAAAAAAAGGATTTGGCAACAGAGAAGTATCCACCATTTTGTATATTTGGAAGTGAGTAGGCTTCAACTGTTTCCAGGTACAGAAACCACTATGGCGCAGCCATTGTGTTGCTTCATAAAAGAAGGCCATGAACTGGCAACGCTGCCTGCCACTGAGGTCACTTGGTCCCCCATGAGCAAGGATTTTCATTCAGGGACATTGACACTGATCCTTTCTGTAGGCCCACCAGTGAGGTTTGTTCCACGCTTATCAGTGTTCAGCCAAGATGCCTTGTCCTTACCATATCCTAGATAGGATGGTCATGATGAATGGTTGCTTCCACTGCTGATTCTGAATAGATGTGTGTGAATGAGTATTCCCAATTTAGATCCTGAGAGCAATAACTTCTGGTACTAGCCTGTTCTTACACTGCTATAAAGACATACCTGACACTGGGTAATTTATAAAGAAAAGAGGTTTAATTGGCTTGTGGTTCTGTGGGTTGTCCAGGCTTCTGCTTCTGGGGAGGCCTCAAGAAACTTACATCATGACGGAAAGCAAAGGGGAAGCAAGCACATCTTTACATGACTGGCAAGAGAAAGAGGTGTGCAAAGGGGGAGGTGTTACACACTTTCAAACAACCAGATTTCATAGAACTCTGTCAGGAGACAGCACCAGGGGAGATGGTGCTAAACCATTAGAAACCACCCCCATGATCCAATCACCTCCCACCAGGCCCCACCTCCAACACTGGGAATTACAATTAAGCATGAGATTTGGGTGGGGACACAGAGCCAAACCATGTCACTTCTTTCCTTAAAAATGTCTCAAAATCCTACTGAAAGAAAAACTTCTAACATATAATATGACAAAAAATGTAACATATATTAAAACCATATCAACGAGGGATTTTAATAATCTCGAATATATTGTTTGGCCCTCCAGACCTGAATATTGAAATGATAGTCTTCCATTTCAGTGCATCAAAGAATTTCTTTTTTACTTGCCATACCATGACCATATAGCTACTTTATAGCTACTTTTTTTTCCCTTTTAGGCACACATATGTTGTAAAGAGCAGATCACTCAGCCTATGTTACAATGCATTGTAGGGAAGAGGGGATCCTATTTTCCAGGCTGGACTCTGCTTGTAACTTGCTACATGATACTGAACAAATAACCTCACCTCTCTGAACCTTAAATTTCCAAAGTATAAAATGAGGGGTTAAGCTAAATCACCCCTAAAGACTTCTGTAGTGTAAACATTTTATAAAATCACCACTGTGATTACTAGTTTCATTATTTCAGGTTGAAATCTGAAATCTAGTTGTAGGGATTTCAATTTGGCAGTGTTCAGCTAGCCTTTAGCGGTTTATCTGGATGGGCACACATAATGGTTAAGATGTCTGAAGAAGTACACAAAGTATTCTGTGGTTGACTTCGATAAGACAAAATGCTTTCTGCAGGGTGTGATTCGGATGAGCACACCAAGATACTCAGCCAAACTCATCTGAACTATCCAAACCCCATGATTCTGCAAACTGGGTTGCAGATCTTTAGAGAACAGGCTTTCTCACAAGATTGCTGGCACTTTCTCTTCCAATCCCAGCCAGAAAAACAGTAAGAACAGCCTTTCTCATATCATTTTGGCATTTCTGGTCTTGGTCCAGGCTGGAAAATTAAAGTGCAAAAGCACTTAACTGAACATTTCACAAGGTAAAGAAATGTTCAGTTCAAGTTTAGCTCTCAAATGGACAAGGGGTTCTTCTTTTATTCACCTCATCAAAACCCTAGATAACAAAGAAATACCATGATTTATCTTCCACTTAAAAAATTATCTACTCTAGGTTCCATGTTAGAAGCCAATAAAGCCCTTTTTGTGCCTCTGTAACAGGCTACACCAGGATATTGCTCAGAAGTGCTAGAATGTTGGTTGGTATCACTCAATTCAGATATCTCTACTTGAAGCCTTAAGTAAATAAATCACAGAAGAATTTTAATCAGGAAAACAAAAATGACTGTTTTAAAATGGAATATATACAACTTACTAAAGTTAACTCAAGCATAAATATATATGCAACTTATAAATAATACACACTTGCTTTTAGCTCTCCCTTGTCACTCCCATATCAGCAGCACCCTTGGTCAGATTTGTGCCACATTTGCCTTGATTACAGTTTTGGTTTGCCTCTGTTCTCATTTTGGTTTTGGCCATGCACATGTGCAACCCTCATGAGGTCAGCTCTCGATGGCACACACTGCTCCAAGACGAGTTAGGAATTTCATTCTGTAGAGGTGATATGCTAATTTTGGAAATTTCTGTTTCCAATACGGAACTTGTTTAAATCACTGTCTTAAACATATAATCGTTAAGCTATAATTCTAGCTCTGGCTATTGCCTTTTCTATTTACTAATTTTCAAGTTTACATGACCCTGCTCCAGCATAAATGCCTGTTATAAAATACCTCCTTCAAAATTCCTAAGCTAAAAAAAATCCTTTTGTGTCTTTGGGATGGGCAATGATTTCTCTAATGAACACCAAAAAATTAATAACCATAAAAAGAAAAAATTAGTTAAACTTCACTAAAATTAAAACTTTCCAAAAGTCACCATTAAGATACAGAAAGGCAAGCCACTAACTGGGAAAACATATTCACAAAACACATGTCTGACAAAGTACTTGTATTAGTGTCTAAATAATTCAATAATAAGACAAAAAACATAATGATAAATGAACCAAAAATTTGGACAGACACTTCACAAAAGAAGATGTACAAATGGCAATAAGCATGTGAAAAAGTGTTCAACATCATTAGTCATCAGAGAAATTCAAATTCAAACCACAGTGAAAAACTACTACATCCTCACTAGAATGGCTAAATTAAAGAAGTCAACAGTACAAAGTGCTAGTAAGAATGTGGAGCAACTGGAACTCTTACACAGGTTGAGTATCCCTTATCTAAAATACCTGGGGACAGAAGTGTTTCAGATTTTGAATTTTGGGGGCATTTGGAATATTTTGATTATATGTACTGGTTGAGCACTCCTAATCCAAAAATCTAAAATCTAAAATGGTCCAAAGAGCATTTTCTTTGAGCATCATGTCAGCACTCAAAAGGTTTTGGACCTTAGAACACTGTGAATTTCAGATTTTCAGGGTAGGGATGCTCAATCTGTATATTGCTGATGGGAGTGCAAATGGCACCTCTTTGGAAAACAGTTTGACAGTTTTTTGTTAAACATGTGTATACAACTCAGCATTCCAACTCATAGGTACTTTCCCAAAAGAAATGAAAGCATGTGCTCATACAGCAAGTGTACTTGAATGTGTGTAGCTGCTTTTTTTATAATAGCCAATGTCTTTCAACAGGAGAATGGATAAACCAGTTGTGGTATATCCATTCAGTGGAACACTACTCAGCAATAAAAACCACTAAAAGGACTAAACTGCTGATACATAGACAAAATGAATAAATTTCAAAAACATTTGCTCACTGAAAGAATTCAGACCAAAACAAAACCACACAGTGTATAATTTCATTTATATGAAATTTCAGGGGGGAAAAATCTTATCTGCAGTAGTAGAAAGAAAATCAGTACTTTCCTGGTGTGGAAGTATTGAGAAGATAACAAAGTGGAAGTGGGAAGGCTGACTGATAAAGGATATATGGAAATTTGGGGGGTTATGATGGTTAATTTTACATGTTAGCTCGACTGAGCCACAAGGTACTCCAACATCCGGCCAAACACTATTCTGGATGTGTCTGTGAGAGTGTTTCTGGGTGAGGTTAACATTTGAATCAGTAGGCTGAGTAAAGCAGGCTGTCCTCTCAATGTGGAAGGGCTTCATCCAATCCATCAAAGACCTGAGAAGAACAAAAAGGTACATTAAGAGGGAAGTCCTCCTGCCTGAGTATTTGAGGTGGGCCATGGGTCTTCTCCTGCTCTCAAATTGGAACTTAGAGCACCAGCTCTTCTGGGTGTCCTGCTTGCCAACTGCAAGTCTTGAGACTCTTCAGCCTGCATAACCAAATGAGCCAATTCTGTATGACATATACATTGTTAATAACACAAATAATATTATTTATTAATTAGTTGTTATTAATAATATAAAAACAGAACCAATAGATATATTCTATTTTCTGGAGAACCGTGCCTTAGACAAGGGTGGTGAAACAGTTCTGTATCTTGAAAACCAAATACCACATGTTCTCCCTTACAAATGGGTGCTAACTATTGGGTACACGTGGATGTTAAAATGGGAATAATAGACACTAGGGAATACAAGACTAGGGAAGGGAGGGAGTGGGGGACAGTTTGGAAAAAACTACTTACTGGGGACTATACTCACTACTTCAGTGATGGACTCATTCATAATCCAAACTTCAGCATCACACAATATACCTTTGTAATAAGCCTGCACATGTATCCCTGATTCTAAAATAAAAGTTAAAATAAAAAAAAAGAAGAAAAATTACTTTATGTTGGTTTTGGTAATAGTTTATAGGGATACGTGTGTATTTGTCAAAGCTCATCAAATTCCAAACACTAGCACAAGTAAGTTTGGAAAGGTTCTATGGATCTCCCCAGGCCCCACTTTAAACAGGAATAGAAAGACTTTCAATATGTGTGGTATAGAAAATAATTTCTTCCTATTACCTAAAAGGCCCTTACCACATGATTATTTCCTACTGGACATGTCTCAGTTACTGCAGCCGCTGGAGCTAAAAATTATATGTGTTTTTCCCTGCTTCAAGTCCAGTTACATATATAATACATGTGTTATGAGGTATAGGTACTTAAGCAACTTAACATCCTTGAGCTTTAATTTGATCTGTAACATGAGAATAGTAATATTTAGTTTATGTCATCAATATCTATCTTTCCAACACTATATTAAGCATGGAGAAGTTTGTTCATAACTGTAAGAACTGTCACGATTGTGTGATACCTGTACTATTGGGAAAGTCTCAAGAACCCACATTGCCCTCTTAAGAGCTTCCTTTCAATCAATGATCACAATAAACAAAGCAAATAAGGCCCATAAACCTTTATTTTATCTACTTTGACCTCAGTCAAATTCAGAAATCTATTCATTCGCTCTGGAGTACTCAAGATGTGTGTGAACACACAATCCCAGTCAAAATATTTTATGCAGAATATGTCTTTCTTAGTCTCATCATTTATTGCTTCACAAACTTCTCCCCAGACTTTCTCCCAAGATTAAAGCCAGATAGACCATTGCTTTCTACATGTATTTTACAATTGTGGTAAAATATGCATAAGTAAAATTCATCATCTGTATTAGTTTGCTAGGGCTGCTGTAACAAATACCACAGATTGGGTAGCTTAAACAACAGAAAATTATTTTTTCATTTTCTAGATGCTGGAAGCCCAAGATCAATGTGTAGGTCTAGTTTCTCCATGGCCTCTCCCTCTGGCTTGCAGATGGCCACTTTCTCACTGTGTCCTCACATGGTCTTTTCTCTGTGTATGTACATCTCTGGTGTTTCTCCGTGTGTCCAAATTTCCTTTTCTTATAGGACAGTCCGATTGGAATAGGGTCCACCCTACAGTCTCATTTTAATTTAACTACTTCTTTAAAGGCCCTATCTCCAAATGCAGCCACATTCTAAGGTACTAAGGGTTAGGGCTTCAGTATATGAAATTTGGAGGGACACAGTTCTGCCAATAACACCGTTTTTAAATGCACAGTTCAGTAGTATTAAGTACATTCATGTTGTTGCACAACCAGTCACCAGAACTCTTTTTATCTTGAAAATGTGAAACTCTATGTGTGTTTAAAAACCCTATTCTCCTCTCCCTGCAGCCACTGGCAACCACCCTTCTACATTTTGTCTTTGTGAATTTGTCTACTCTATGTACCTCATATAACTAGAATCATACAGCGTTTGACTTTTGGTAACTGGCTTATTTCACTTAGCATAATGTCCTCAAGTTTCATCCATGTTGTAGCCCATGTCAGAATCTCTCCCTGCCAGGATGCCAGTGTTGAAAAGGTCCCTCACTGAAAGTCACCACTCCAGCCAGACAGCCTCTCTGGGTTTCAATAACAGCCACTTCCTCTTGTGTCTTCAGGCCTAGGGATGGTAACAGTCTCCGTTGTTATTGGCTCCAGGGTCCTTCAAGCCCCTTGTTGAGTCCCCAAAGCCTGGCCACACCTTCACATTTGTGAAGTGGCGGTTTTATTAAACACTTCTCCACTTCTCCTGTTTAAGTATGTCATCTCTTGCCAGGACCCTGACTGGCATATATGTATATATCTCATTATAATTATCATTGGGGAAGCTGACTGATAGGTACAGGAAGTTTGTTATACTCAATCCTGTCAGCTTTTCTTTATGTTTGAAACTTTACAGAATGAAAAAGTAAAAAGAGAGAGAGACAGCAAGCATATATATGAGATGAGGACTCATTCCAAAGTAACTAGAAGAGTTACAGGTATGGTTAATGCTTCACTAAGACCTCGACTCTCCACTTGATCACTTGACTTGCTTCTGTCCTGAGGTCACAACATTACAGACATTTTGAGGTCTTTGTTTTGTGTGTTTCCCCACCATATCTCATCTACCTCTTCATTTTTCCTCAATTTACTGGCCACTTCTATTATTTCTACTAACCAATTTTGATATTCTTCCTTCCTGTATAAAACACATGCTTCTTTTGATTATGAGGCCCCACTTGATGACTAACAAAGGGAGTATGAAGTATACCTGCAAAATGCCTCCTCTTTTTGCCCTTCCACCAATGGGTAAAAATTTATGTCTTTTAGTTGGAAAAAAATTTCGCTCAATTCTATATAAAACTAGTGTTATTTTTTTCTAGACATGTTCTCCTCATTCTGATTTGGATTGAAACAGAAAAAAAAAAGAATGAGGAATTAAAATATGTCATTTACAGGAGCATTTTTATCTTACATGTTTAAAGTAGATCCGTAGTAGAAATGATCTTGCAACAACCACCTTCCAACCTACAGTGTTTAAAATTCAGTGAGAGGATGGACATCAGTAGAAGGAGTATCAGTGGCAAGCACAGAAGACAAATGGAGACAGAAATAAGGACTGACAGAATGACAGAGCTCAGAGACGGCTCTTGAAAAGAGCAAGAAAGAAGCTGGCGGAATCTACTTGCTATTGGTGAGGCTTTTCCTGGTTCCTCATAACCAACTCCTTGCCTGTTTTTAATCCCAGGGTCTTTGTACTTCTCTCTCACTGTAAAAAGTGCATTCTCTTTTCTCCTTCTATGCCTCTTCTCTATTAAGTTCTATAAAGGGTTGGAAACACTTGATAGTTCTGATCACACAGCAGTAACCTCAGGCAGATTTTGACTATACTAGGAAAGCTATTTATAATTGTCTCCTTATTGGTTTTTGTTGTTTACAGGAGAGAAGCCCAACTAGCTGTACATCTCCTCAGTTCAACATAACACCCCAGTTAAATATAAATACATCCTTAAAATACATTGCCAGGATAGAACATGTAAATACAGAGACATTGAATCTCATCTTTTTTCCTGAAATCCTAGTTCTTGAAAAGCAAAAGATTTTTCTATGTGGAAATTGAGCTGCCTATGGTGATTAATTACAAATGACCTAAATTCTTTAAGGAAATATTTATTGAGAACTTATTATGAGCCAGACACTGTCTTAGATACAGTGATGAGGCAATGGTGAGCAAAAGAAAATCCTGACCCCAAGAAATTTATAATCAATCAAGGAAGAAAGATAAGTAGAGTCAGTTACCATATAGTGCGATACCTGCACTCATAAGGGTGCATGCAGCATGTGATGGAAAAAGATTAAAAGAGCACGTAATCAGATGCAGGGCCTCAGAGAAGGATTTGCAGAAAAATGATCTCTAATTAGCTGAGAAATAATAGTCATGGCTGCTAATATTGATTGAGTGCTTACTAGATCCCACTCTAAGTCCCACTCAATCTTTATAATAGCCCCTAAAGGTACATGCTATTGCTAATATCATTATCATCAACAACAACATCACATCATCCTCACTTTCCCCATCAAGGCCTAGAAAGGGAAAGGAGTGGGAAATGGGGAACCAGGATTCCATTCAAGCAGTCCCATTTAAGAGCCTCTGCTCTTCACTATAACACAAAATAGCCTCTCTAGGGGAGAAAAGGGAATCACATGAGCAAAGGCCCAAAGAAAGGAAAGAAAGCATGTTCCATCTGAGGATTTGAAATTAGAAATTCCACTAGGCTCAGGAAAGAGCACAAATGTAATAGGGAGAAGGAGAGAGAAGACTGGGAAATCAGTCAGGGGTTAAATCACGAAGGACCATGGAAAACTCATTAAGGAGACTAGACTTAACCCGAGGGCACTGGGACATTAAAGAGCTACAACAGAGAAATGATAAGGCCAGGTTCACGTTCTAGAAAATCACTCTGGGGGTGGTTTGAAAAATGGGTTGAAGGGAAGCAAAATTGGAAGCAGGAAGATCCATTAGGACTTTTTTGCACTAATCCACGAGACAGATGACAGTAGCCTAAACAATAGGTGATTGCAAAGGGAGCCCAGAATGGAGAGACGTGTAAGAGGGAGAACTGTTGGTGGTTAATTGGCTGTAGGCACTAAGAGAGAAGGCAGAGTTGTGATGACTCTGCTCCATTTCTTGGCCCCAAGATGGATAATGCCACTACACATGAAGAGTAAACGCAGAAGATAGGGCAGAATGAAGGGACTGAGGCCCATGAGTTTTCTGGTGGCATGCTGAATCTGAGCGGACATAGGAGAGTCAAGCAGAATGGTTCAATAGATCTTCAGATCTGAAGGTCACGAGTGACAGGTAGACTAGAGATGTTCATTGGAGAGCTCTTGTTCTGCATAAGATAGCCAAAGTCCTGGGTGAATGGACCCAAGGAGAGTGAGTGTTGTGAGGAGAGAAGAGGACCTAAGCCAACACTCCAATAGTATCACCATGTAAGGGCCATAGAGAGACAGGGGAGCTCATAAATGAAGCTGAGAAACCACCAACTGAAAGGCAACAGGAAAAGTCACAGAACATGTGGTCACAGAAGCCCAAGAAAGAGCCCAGGGAAAAGGTCCGTGAGACCTTTTTTGTGGGAACCATCATGGTGAGCTAGTAATTTCCTTCCATTCCAGTAAGGAAACTTCCTCATGCTCAGAACTCAGGATCCACAGGCTTAAAATATTTTATTAAAGCAAATCCATTCTTCCCAGTTATTCTTTTGACAGATTTTATATGAATTATATTTGTGGAGTAATTCAAGAGAGTATTTGCCTCTAGGAAGATGCTGCTGTTTCCTTTGTGTGTGATACCTACAGCCTTTGTTAATAATAGCTTAAACTCACCTCCATTGCCTCTGACATTTTAAAACAATCATAAAGCACTTCTAGACTTTCTATTTTCATGGTCCCACTTAATTTCAAATACGTGAGAGAAAAGAACTGTTGCATATTTTGAATAGACTGATTATAATGATATATGTGAGACTGAATAAAAATATTAATAATATTTTACATGGATTTTAGATTTTTTCATTATATTATCAATGTTATCTGTTTCAGTCCCAAAGAATGGCTGATTAGGTTTGGTTATGTAAATCAAATCTTTGATTCTTTCAAATCTTTTTTGAAATGGAGGTACTGTAGTAGCTGAATGTGGAAGGATCTGGTTGACAATTCTGCCATTAAGTTACTGAACATTAAGACATTCTGTTGAGGTGTGTTCTACACTAAAAATAGAAATATCAAACTGCATCAATTACACACACCCATTCTCAACTGCCATTGAATAACCCTGATGACTGTTTCATAGTGAAGGAAAGAGAGATGACAAATACTTTTTAATTACTAGAAACTTTTTCATAATTTGAAAAACTTATTAAAACTTACATTTTAAATGTACTTAGCATAAAAATCACTTTATTCAGGTAAAGTATACAGACAGATTTCAGTATAAACTTATCAATTTGTCAAAATATGTTGAAAACTTGTGAATGAGCTGTTAGAAAAGCATTTTCAATAGTTTGTGACAGTTCATTAAGTATTTAGAACAGTCCTGCAGGAGCCAGAAACGGATGAGGGGAAACTGAGGAAAAGCTGGGAAATATGACTAACTTATCTTCTTCTTTTTCTACTTTTATTTACTCCTGAGTTCATTTTTCCTGTCAAAGGCATGTGTGTTGGCTGACTTAACTGCCATCCTTTTTAATCATGTACAATCTGTTGAGACAAACAAGAAACTTAATTCCAAACAGAAAAGTGGGAAACAAGATATACAGAAACTATGCAACTCAAAGAAACATAGGGATGTCTTGTGAGACAGACAGTTCACATGAAATAAAGGAGAAATTCTAAGGAAGATGGAATATTATTTGGTCATGTTATAAGGAACAATTACGTTTGCTATAAATTTAGATTTTTAGTTGACTGTTATATCCTTAAATTCATGAACCTTTCTGTAACAAAGCCGAAACATATTTTTGTGCTCTACTTCCTGATCTTCCTTCACTCTTGACTTTCCCTTTCAAACCTGTGCCTTCTTTCATCCCTAATCTCCCTGTGACAGCAGCTTGTAAATTTCAAGCTTTCTCCATTCACATTTGCCACCCACCCTGCCATCAACACCTCACTCACAGATCCTTGGGTTTCCAGATCTGACCTGGCATAACCTTGAGGCAGCCTTCCGTGATTGACAGCAGTTGCGTTTATAGCATTATTTCTCAGAGAGAGGAAAAGACCAGAAGATTAGCAGTGGCAACTGCCAAGGAATTTTATGTAAAGAATTGTGGGTTATAGGAGATTTTCTGACTTGGACAGGAACCAAAATTCAGGTCATTCCTAATACAGATAAGCTACACAGCATTCTGTGACCTTTCTGGGTTTTGTTTATTTGGTATCTAAATTTTTTTTTCTGCCTTTTCCAACCTGACTGGTAGTGTTTGATGTGGCTGGTGATGGATGGTAAGAAGGAGATTGGAAAGGTGTAGGCAGTCTTGATTTCACTCCTTTACTTCTCCCCTCTCCCTAAATTTTGTTTCTTTTCCTTCCCTCCTTTTCCCCTCACCTTTCCAAATCCTTTTGTCCTAGTTTTTTGTTCGTTTGGTTTTTTTTGTTTTGTTTTGTTTTTAACCATCTTTCACCCATCCCCAAATACTGGAGAGCAGGGAACAAGGCCAGAGTGAAAAGATGTGATTAGACTTGGGGAAACGATTTCAGTTCCTCCACACATAGACACATACACCTTTACATGTAAAGCTTAAATCATAATTTCCTGCAGAAAAAAGTAAAATTATCTCTTTCTAGTATTTCAGCCAGAATAAAAGTCACTGAAATATACAACCTTTTTCAAACTCAATTTGTTATCGTTAACATTACCAGCAATATCAGTCCTGCTTTAAACATGATTAAACATTATAACCAATCCCATGTGTCTTCAAATATCCTGTTGACAGAATACTGCCGGCCTTTTAGTAATGCAAGGAGCAGAGCCTACATCTGGATAGGTACAAATATTTTAAGTTATTCGCTTTTAAAATAAACATTTGACTGACAGCTCAAATTAGATTGCATGTATGCGTTAAACTCTCCTTTAATGCTGACATAAATTTTTAGGCTGCTGTTTGACTAGAGTCACAGATTCCCACAGTTTTTTTTTTTCCTTTGGATTCAAGAGATCTTTTAGGGTCTACAAAGATGTCTTTCTCTGTATAAAATCAGGAATACCAACGATCTCATCCTTAGACTGAAAGAATGGCTCCTGCTCAGTAATTAACGGAACTCTGAATTAGAAACTAGATTCTCCAAGGGGTGCTATTTTCTATTAACAAGGCAAAATGTCAAAGTGAGAGGTAAAACTGTATTTTCTCAGAACCCAAATATATTACCCCTCATATCCCTATCATAATCAAGGAAAAGAAAATTCTTTTTACTTTTGTATGCTTTAAGATTTTTTTTCCTTCACCTTCTAGGTGCTCTCTTTCATGTATTTATTGTTTCATCTAACAAGTAAAAAAGAGAAAGAGAGAGAAAATATGTGTACGTGTGTGAGAGAGGGAGGGCAAGGGGACGAATAGAGAGACACACCAAGATAGAAGGGGAGTGTCATGGGAGAGACATGCAAAATTGAAAACTATTTCTTAAGGCTAGTTTTACACATTGCTTTTTTTTTTTTTTAGATGAGGTCTCACTATGTTGCCCAAGCTGCTCTCAAACTCCTGGCCTCAAGCAATTCTCCTACCTCTGCCTCCCGAGTAGCTGGGATTACAGACGTGAGCCAGTACACCCGGCCACATTGCTTTCTTGCGTTAAATTGCTCTTGCCACTCCTGGATAGTAATTCCTTTAAAACAAGGATAGTTTGGATTTCTATGCTGGATATACGGTTTACTTTCAGTCTTTTATATTTGTATTTCTAAATTATACCTCTCATCACAACCACCGCAGAATACAGTCTATTATTCTATTTATGGAATAGTGAACAACGATCCACTTCTGCCTAGATCACCTGTGTTTTAACAAAAGTCTTTCTGGAGCGGAGTGAAATCACCTCATCTGATTTCAAAATTTTCTCCTATTTTCTTTTCTTCTTCTCAGCATCACATTAGGATCCTCCATTTTGTCCCTCTCATTGGCAAAGCACAGTGTGGCTTGGAATGAGGGGACTGTGTGGTTGCCAGGGTGACCCCAAGGACTAGTTTTAGCACATACGGTTCTGCAAATGGAAGTTCCTCAGTCAGACCTAATGGCAGGAAAGAAGATTTGCAAACTCGCCCAGGGCAAAGCTGGTATAAAGTTTCAGATAAATGTTCAGAATTAACCACCTCCTGTTACTCCTACAAAAATAACACCATGAAAAGAATTTTCCATTTTTTATTATCTTGCTGAGTGATCTTTTTTCTCTCTATAAAGAAGAAAAAAACATACTCATAGTTATAGGAGAAAGAATGTTTTTTGCTTTGAGGGGCATTGATAACAGAGTTGATGAATATATGCAGAAGACTATGTAAATGTTTAACTGCAAGAGGGTTTAAAAGTCCTCATTTTAATTAGGGAAGGATCAGGAAACAGCAACAAGTTAGCCGGAGGCTGGAGAGTTGCCACTTTACATCACTTGGTCAAAGACTAACAGGCAATATCTTCTGTTAATATTTTGACTGTTTCTATAACTTTATGTATGTTTCCACAGAAACCGTATTTTTACGTCTCCACTGGGACAGTCGCTGGGTAGAAATGCTACAGCAAAACTGAACATGGAGTGGACAGTCTGGGTCCCATGTTCCCCTTGAAGAACTACATTTTGCTTTGTGCTTTTTCTAGATTTTATGCAAATTTGTCCTGATTCTGTATTTCGCTAAAGCAGAAGCCAAAAAAAAGTGTTTACCAATTAGGATATATTGGACGGTTTTCACATTTTCATATTTGACAAGTAGTATTTCAGCTTAAACTGCATGCGTCTTTTAATATTACAGGATTTGAGTTACTTCAGTGATTCCAGCGTAAGTAATGCTCCTGCTTTAAAAAAATGTGAAACAGCCTAATCAATTAAATCATTGCATGTTTTTAAACTCAAAAAAAGTTTAACATGCCAAGATTGTCAAAAACCAATATGTTCAATTGTTATCTAATGTCATAAGCATTTTATGCTAAATATAAATTATCGAACTTGTTTTTTCAAGTTATTACTAGTCATTATTTCTAATTGATAGCTATCCTTAATATTAAATAAAAGAGATGCTTCAATTTACCAGTAATGTGAGGTGTAATAATTTGCTTAGTAGATACATATTTTCAAGGTCAACTTGATAAACCACTATCAAAGCCATAAAAATTATTAAGACATTAGGATGTTTGGGAAAAAAAATACCCTGTGGAACTCCCCAGTCATAATATCCAAACACAAAAATAATTGATTCCAAGCCTATAGCTACTTCAAGGAGTCCAATGTTCCTGGTATTATATCAAGAATTTTCCTATTGACATTCAGTACAACTGTCATATTGTGTTTGGAAAAAACTAAAACATAAAAAATAGCATTAAAAAGTAGAGTAAAAATCATTTGACAGATGTTCCTAGTTTTGGTTTGGACAGTTGGCATTAAACATTCATAATCTATCTCGTCTTGTTTGACAAATATCAGGATATGTTTCTTTAAACACCAAACTCTAGTATTTAGGGATTTTTAGAAGTGTGACTAGATCTTTTAGTTCCCATCAGACTAGAAACACACTTGTTCATTCTGTCCATTTCAGAGGCAAAGTAATGACAGATATCAGATTTACCATCAGGTTTATCCCCACAAATATCAGTCATGTCATTGTCTTCTTAGCAATATACTTCCCCATGGACTGTACTGTCTACACATGGGTATCTTGGTTAGTAGAAACTACCGACACTTCCCCTCCAGAAAACTCCCCAGATAAGTGCTTCTCAAGTTAACCCTCCAGGATCACTCTAGATGTCAATATTATACATATGTTTTAATATCTATGTTTCAATTTATTGAAATTATCTTCCAGAGATGCCAGGTACACTTGGTTGTTTCTCTTCCAAATTGATCACATTTTAGTGTTTCTTCTGAATATTTCTGATGTCTCCCAAAAATCCACTTCTGGGCAAGTAACTCCTCAATAGCCTATTTCTAATGCCACTTAAAGCTTTCCTTATTTATCAAGGTTACAGAGTGCAAAGAAAAGTATTCAATTACCTGCATTAATTTGATGTAGGTGGTATAGATAGTTAACCAGATTTGCTTAAACTTCAAAGTGATTTTTATATCAACCATCTCACTCGTCCAATCATACTGCCAGGATTTAAATATTTTTTATCAATAATAATTATATCTCACAGGGTTTTCTGTGAGGAAGCACTAATAAGTGAAAGATCTGGCCCTTGGAGAACATATAAATGGTATGTATATATAGATCAAAATAGCATATAATTATTTTGCACAAATCTCAATTATCTGGCCTCTACAATTAATTTTCAAAAATAATTATTAGTGGTTCTATAAGAATAATGGCTAAATCCCTTAATATACTACTATTCTGACCTATTCATTTGGAATTCTTAAAGTTTTTAAAAATTATTTCCTTACTCACTCATGGAAAATTGCTATTCTCAGAATACCTTCACTACTTCCAAGTTGACTACATTCCTATTCTTTATGTTTTTTGTTGTTAGAGACAAAAATTTGTTTGAAGAGTTCAGTTTCATTCATTTGGTGCCCTTCATTTACAAGTGGATGTGTTTTTCTTCATAGCATCCCTTTTAAATTGATTGTCTAAATCTATCCTTTCCCCCTAGCCCTTTTCCTAGAAGCCACTCCTATTTTCCTACGCCTTTACCTATATGTCTTAGACACATATATGATTACATTTTTATCCTTTACACTTCTAGTATACTTTTTCCTTAGAAGTAGTTATATAAGCTTTCTTTTATGAGAACATATTGAATGTTTTATTTTTGTAGTATAAAAAGGAGATCTATAGATGGGCGTCAAGAGGTCTAGAAACCCTCTGAACGTTTATGAAAAACCTGTATATGTGCATTTGTGGAGAAAGTCCACCGCTTCCAAAAATTCTCAGAGGGTTTGGAAGACAAAAGAACACACACTTCTAGTGCGGACAGTGCTCAGCACACCAGCACCCCACGTTCACACGGCCCACACAGCTCCACCGGCCCTGGCTCGTCTGCTATCTCCAGGTGGCAGCTCCATTTCCCTCAACTAAGAACAGGGATGAGATTGACCCAGAAAGATGCCTTCTGTCATACAAATGTTGAGGTTTAACAAGTTACTGGTTCCCAAGTGTATCTAGTTCACCCAACTTTTCACGGGCTTTTCATGAACCAGGACCAGCCCCACTTTTGCAGCCAGGGCAAAGGGAGATGGTTTTTTGGAATTCCAAACTAGAACACAAATGAGACTTCTCATTCTAAAAATTGCAAGGAAGTTATGTGGAATCTTTTTTATTCTGTGCTCCATTGTATTGTGGCCTAAACAGGCTATTGCCGACTGGCCTAAGACAGTTATTTTCAAGGAAAATGCACTACAAGTTCCAACCTGATTTCCAGTTGGGCCTTGCCAATATAGGTCATTCTAAGACAAGGCAAAAAAAAAAAAAAACATTTTATTTTGTTGCTTTTTAGTCTTTCCTCTGAAAGATCATCATTGAGTTACTCCAGCTCTGTAACTCTAGGCAAACCTTTCTTCTTCTTTCCAGCCTTACATAGCCAACTCTATAGCCTAACCCGATCCGAACACCCACAGACATTCCTTCTTCTGCCCTATCTCCCTGCCTAGCCCCACTCTGCAAGGATAGGGACTCCTCCGTCTAACATTGTGCCTAGTCTAGACTAGAGCTCTATAAATGTTTGCTGAGCACATAAATAAATGTAACTAATTTTAAACTCAGTTTTTCATTTAGCCATTGTGTATTATGAGGTTTTATTTTTACATATGTAACCTGAATTGTTGATAAAATAGGACATACAAACACAGTGTTTAGGACACTATTCGATTTCTCATTCTGTTAATGGATTTTTATACTTTGGTAACACAGTTTTTTATTGAATCCGTACATGATGAACAGAAAATATTAATATGACCATAAATTTCATAGCTTGGGTCTACTTTATCTACTAGGATGTTAAAAGTGGACCATTTCTGTCTTCATTTCTGGGACGGAGCCTCTAAGAGAGAGAATATTGATGAAAGATATCCCCCTTTCTAAAGTGAAGTATTGTACCACTTATGCATGACATACAAAAAGAAGGGGTTAAAGTCAGTTTTGTGACCCTTAGGCCAAAACCCACGGAGGGTATAAAAAGTTTGAGATTGAAAGGCCATTCAAGATAATGTCCTTGGAGAAAGGTATTGGAGTGCTATGGCATTTCTCTCCTGCTACCTACAGGGAAAGGGAGGAGGCTGCTTTCTCCTTGTGTCAAGTCAGGTGGGAGGAGCTGGTGTGTCTTCCCTGGGGTTCAGGGACCCAGTGAACTGGTAATTAAATCACACAGAAAAAACAGACAAGGGAGAAACGGCTAAGTGCCTGATGGCAGCTTAGAAAGAAAGTTGTATTGAGGTAAATTGTAGTAGCAACCATGACAGTAGAGACAAGAATATATAAGCATTTCTCAGGAACCAGCTGTTGGCCATGCAGGACAGAAGCAGCCTGGAGCCATTTAGATTTTGGCTGAGAGAACTGCATGGAAGGGATGAGGGGATGGTCTACTGCATGCCCTGAGGCTGAAGGTAAAAATTAAAACAGCCAGATGGAAGATGGAGAACATATTGCTTTTGTCATAGGAAGATTACACAAGTGGACCCAATGGGACAAGCTTCATAGACCCATTAAAGTATCCCTTCTCTTTTCAGAGTCAACCTTGAACAACTGCCAAAACCAGAGAATCCAATGCCAGATCACGGTATTTCTTGTGTGTCCCCTCTCTTCCTTCTTCCTTCCAATCTTGGAAAACCCAGAGACAGCCAAATGGAGTAAATAGGGGGGAAGAAATGAAATATGAGAACATAAATCCATTCTCCACACCTGCCTGCCACTGCAGATTCCAGCCAGAACAGGCCAAGCCAGAGGAGAGGAGAAGCCTTAATTTGATATGAAGTGTAAAGTTTTACTATTACATAGGACTTAAAATGAGAATTTGTTTTATGACTAGACGGACTAGAAGGCTTTTGATTTTCTTAGAGTGACTAGAAGAGTCATGGAACTTGCCGAATATTACCTCCAAAGGTTGGAGAAGATCTACCCTCATCTACCAAGAGCAGGTTTGAATGAGCAAAGGGACCGGAGAGCACTTTCCAGCTTCAGCCTCATCCTGTGGGTTTCTGTGACTTCGACAGATACGCAGTCACCTCCATAATCCAAAATTATTCTTCAAAGTTGTAGTCATCAGTAATTTGGTAATTGTCAGGATGCTTGAAATGTTTTCTCAGAAAAAAATGGTGGTTCACACTCACATTACCCAAGCTTTCACTGCCAAACTACATCTTACAGTTATGGAGCCAAAACCATTGATGACATTATTATTATCCAGAAAAATATTTTTCTTAAAAACCATTTTTGCAATAATACAAATAAATGCCACCCAAAGATATTTTAATATGTGGCTATGTGGAAAAGGTCTCATTTAACTTTTTTATTTTATAAGTTGCATTAAATTCACCAGCGGGCACAGAAACAAATCTATATTCTAAATGATCTTCCATAAGCAGATCTATAATTCCATAAGGTAAAATAGATTCTCAACATATTGTAA
Organism: Homo sapiens; assembly: GCF_000001405.40. Taxonomy (NCBI): domain Eukaryota; kingdom Metazoa; phylum Chordata; class Mammalia; order Primates; family Hominidae; genus Homo; species Homo sapiens. Next base: position 93,328,755 of record NC_000005.10, read on the forward strand.
ATGAACAAATAATAAGCATTTTTAGATGAGAATAACAGTGTGTCTATAAATCTTATCTAGCTCATGCTGAAAATATAAACTGCCCCTAAAGAGTTAATTCAAAAATGGCATATAAGAAGACTTATTTTCTCTCCAGTGACTAAACTTAGTCTCACCATCCACCTGGTTGGTCTTATCCTCCAAGGTGGGAAACAGACAGCCAGATGTAAAATCTGGGAAATTTTCCAAATTCAAACTAAAAAAAATTGGGTGCTGAATACAAAGCACCCTTCTATTTGCAATAGCGTTTCCAAATAACATTCCTGGCATCAAATGTGTCTACATGACAAAACCCAGGTAGGTCAAAAAGGAAAAACTGTGTTGATTTGGTTAGCCTGTAGATTGCCTTTTGAGTCACACTACACTGCTCATTTGCTATTCCCAATTTCTGCATACCCTGACACCTCTGTGTGTTGATCCTGATGGAGCCTTTGTTTTTGCTGATAGATTAGGCCATCAGAAGCTCTTCCATCTCTTTAAAGTTATGAGAATATTTAAATTTCTGCAGATGAGGTGAATAGGAATATATGCCATGTTGAGAAACCAACCATTAGGAATGAGTGGAAAACAGACTCAGTGGGAATGTGTCCTGCACGGCTGTCCACTAAGACCTTGGGATGTGTGGCTGCCTCACTGCTTGTTTGAATTTTCCTTTGGCTCTGTTTCTTCAGGCTGCTGCCACACGTTACCCTCCCGATTACCTTTGCTCAAATACCTCATCTCAGTACCACCGTCTGTCAACTGTACTCCTTCTAGGTTTATGCCAGCACAGTTAATGCCACCCAGAAACTCCTCATACTTAGATCTCCTTTGCTCTCATTAAAACATCTAAGGGATTCTCAGCTTTGGTATGCTTTGGGTTTCTCTTTTAGGCACTGTAACAGCCTCTTGTACAGTGACAATATGCCCTCCACTTTTATATTTACTTATAACCCTAGATGATAGACTCCTGTTGGGGAATCATATCCATGTATATCCTTGAATTCTTCACTTGCACAAACACACATAGACATTCATATATACTCTTTTCACAGGTGCACTGGAATCAATTTGAGCACCATCCCAAATTTGCCTTCTCCCTTCAGCCACCATCCCCCAACTCTGGCTTCTGCTGCTTCTCTTGCTTTCTGCTAGGAGCTGCTTTGGCAAAGGCATAGGCTGTTCCCGCAGTGCTAAAGCCAAAAAAAACTCCATGCACTTCACCAATTGACAGGAGAGACCCTAGTTTTTCCAGCAGCTGTCCAGAAGGGCCAGATAACACAACCCAGAATTTACCTGGAGTCAATTCTTTTGATTTAGGCCAATAAAATACAGAAGGGAAATAACTAGCAGATGAATACTCATATCTCTGCAGTAGACTCTTCCAAGATGCAATGCTCTGAAGAGCCTCTCTGGAGACCTGACAACCAGATCTGTTTTGTTTGCTGCCGTTCCGTTCCACAATGGACCATGTTGGGTTTGCTCTTTTCCTGCCTGCCTGCCTTCCATTTTTCCCACTCTTGCTTTCCTGAGATTACACTTTGCAATAAACCACCGGTAGTTACCTTTTGTTTTCTAAGAGATCTAGGTAAGGAGAGTGGAAGAGAAGCTTTTTCATCCTTTCAATTCAGGAAAAATATGGCTTTCAAAATTCCTCTACTATAACTACTTATTCAGTCCTTGGATGTTTTCCCTTTGTCATAGGTCACTTATTTGGACTTAGCTGACTATATCATAAAGCCTTCTTCCCTCTCATTTAAGTAACAAAGATCTCACAGAGACCTAAAAAAGGTTAGTGAGCTCCTTAAGAGCTTAATTATGCTGTGCTTTTGGTGGGTGTACTGAAAAACTGGTTTTTTTGGTCTGATTTACTAAAGTTTTTTCTAACTACATGAATGCAATGAGTAAGGTGACTCCCTATTCTTGTTGTGTCATAGATATGAGCAAAGGTGAATCATGAGATATTTATATAAATTTTACGTAAATGTACTGGTTTATCCCAGTTTACCAACATAGACACAGTTCTGTTCCTTTTAACTGGTTAAGACTGTTGGCGAGAGTAGGGGAAGAAAATCTATGACTGGGTTTGAATGTTTTTTATTATATCAGACAGTGTTTACCCTAATGTTTAATGTCTCCATTTTAACTGCTAAATGAATGGAAATTTTATCTTTTTATGTGGTTCACTTCATTTATAAATGTGTGCCCTGAAGATCTCAAGATCTCAACATCATATTTTATCAATGTAGTATATATTTTTAATCATCAATAATTATTTGTCCAAGCTGAGTTAATATCCTTGATTCTGACTAAATGAGGAAGTTGGTAGGAGGGGTCAAGAGGAGGTTCTTTGGAAATAATCAGAATCAGATCAAGACTGAATTTGCTAAAGCTGATGTCACTTCATACTGTCAGATATATGTGCATGAGGACCGAACTGGACATTTCTCCTTTTTATGTTGTATTGAGTTGTTCTTTAAATTACAGAATTAAATGCTCAAAGATGAAAACTTTTGAGTTACAGTGTCCCTGAATCAAATGCTGTAAAGATAAAGTAGCTTTGCTGTTATGTCTGTCAAAGCCTTCTAGCTATACTTCACATTTGGCGCTTTTATATTTGTTCTTCTATTTCTATTTTGTTAAATAAAATGTTGGAACATATACCAAGAAACACAGATTGTCCATAGCAGCATGAGACTTGGGCTGTGGTTGGAAATAATTTAAATTAAACATTACATGAACACTGAAGAAGTTTCCAACTTCCCAATTTAACTTGTGTATAAATTATACCCCCCTCAAAAAAATGCAATACAAGAATATTATACTGAGGCATCTAGGTATCTAAATATATGATTGCTAGATGGATGAATAGATAAATAGATCAATCTATATTTGTGTAAAAATTATACTTAAAAATGAAAATTAAATATATTCTCATTTTAAACAAAAGATTACTAAGTCTCATGAGAATAAAATGCCAAACACGGAAAAGTCCCTAGAACATAAATCATGCTTGAAAAAAATTATCTTGCCTAAAATATAAATTATGCTGTAAAAAAATACCTAAATTATACATCCTCTGACCAGGTAAATAGGATTCAACGATCAGGATGTCAATAATCCTGCAAATGCTTTCCCAGTTGGGCAACTAGCAGTATTCCTTTTATTCCATAGTTCTGCAAAATGCTGTGTTGCTTATCAAGTTTTAAAATAACTGCTTCCGTGTCCACATTTTGGCAGCCACAAACTGTGGCGTGACTAGAACTTTGCTCATGTTACTTTGGATTCACAGGCTGTATCTAAATGCAGCCTCTGAATTGGAGTGCTGCATGCTGAATCTAGCCAAGTTGGTTGCAGAGACCTTCATCAAATGTTAAGATATCAAAATGATGCAATTATTAAAGCCTTTTTAAATCTACAGGCCCAGGCATAGTCTAGGCCAAGTCCCAACATATGCTACAGAATAACAGAAGATATTTGGAGGCTGATGTGACTCCTGGAGTTAGTAACAGATAACCCTAATTGGAGGGTGGCAGGGAGTAGATGTTTTAAAAAACAGCCCTGACCTAATCACACATAGGGTTACCAGAGAAGTTACCTAAAGATAATTATCTCTGGCCCATTTATAATCCTCTCTACAAAGGAAAAACACCAGAGAAAAAAATAGGTACACCAATAGGACCATGTAATGAGTAATTTGTACCCATAAATTTGAAGACTAAGTGAAGAAATTTCTAGAAAACAATAACTTACCAAAACATGCTCAAGGTGTTTACAACCCAAGTGGTATTGTAACCATAAAAGCCACTGAAGTAGAGTTTTAAATCTTCCCACAAAGAAAACAATGGGTCCAGATAATTTTACAGGCAATTTCTACAAACCTTTTAGGGCACAACTAATTTCAGTCTTGTACAAACTCTTCCAGAGTATAAGAAATACAAGAAAGAGAGGACAGTAAATTTTATGTTATTTTATAAATTCTCCATACAAAATCAAGGGTAATATGAGAAAGGAAAATTATAAACCAATCTCATTCATGTGCATAGATTCAAAAATCCCAAACAAAATGTTAGTAAACTCAATTCAGCATTGTATACGAAATACACTATCATTCAATATTCAGTGTCTATCATTATGTTAAGTGAAAAAAGTCAGACACAGAAAGACAAATACTGCATTATCTCACTCATGTAGAATGTAATGAAACTGATCTCATAGAAGTGGAGAGTTGATTATTAGTTACTAAAGCCTAGGAAGGGTTGTGGGGAGGGAGAAACGGAGATAGGTTGGTCAACAGTTACAAAGTTATAGTTAGATAGGAGGAATAAGTTCTAGTATTCCATGGCAAGCAAGGTGACTATAGTTCACAAGAACACATGGGATGTTTCAAAATACAGTCATGCATCTCTTAAAGATGAGGATACATTCTGAGAAATGCACCGTAGGTGATTTTGTCCTTGTGCCAACATCATAGAGTGTACTTACACAAATCTAGATGGTATATCTATTACACACCTAGGCTAGATGGTATAGCCTGTTGCTCCTAGGCTACAAACATGTACAGCATGTTAATGTACTGAATACTTTAGGTAATTATAATGCATGGTAAGTATTTGTGTATCTAAACATATGAAAACATAGAAAAAGCACAGTAAAAATATAGTATGGGACAACCATCATGCACGTGGTATAGTCATTGATTAAAATGTTGTTATGTAGCACAGGACTATAGCTAAAAGAGAGGGCTTTGAATGTTCTCACTAAGAAGAAATGATAAATATTCGAGGTGATGGATATTCTAATTATCCTAATCTGATCATTATACATTGTATACATGTATCAAGGTATCATGCTATGTACCATGAATATGTACAATTATTATATATCAATTAAAAATAAAATAAAACTTTTAAAAAAGAATTCAAAGTTGAGTCTTGTGGTTTCAGCTCTGACACATGAGGAGCTTAAAGTTGTTGCTCCCACTCTCACAAGGAAAAGCCGGACAAAATGAAAAATCAAAAACTTTTCTTAAATCTATCAGATAAAAGAAGTTGCAAAGGCAAACTGCGACCCCAAAATCTGGAGAGAGGCATATCCAGAAACATACTGCAACCAGTATCTACAAGATCTGCTTAACTAGAGCAGAAGTTGCAGAAGCCATAACCTACAAGAACAATTAAATTGTAATTCTGACAATTGCTGAAGACTAAGGATAAACTAAAATAGGAGTGAGAAACCCCTGGGACCCCAGATTTTTCTGGGCTTTCCCTTCAGGAAAATCATTACCTCAGTAACCTGGAAAAGTTTATCTATTCCTAGAGATACATGAAGAGATTTAACTCAATAACTATCATAGAGAGCATGACAAAGCTGCCAATGTTTCAAAAATGAGTTTTTATATAAAACAATCACAGAACTGATATTGTAGGATTTTTGGTTTTCTTGCTTTGACTTTTTCTATGTCTATAAAAAGCAACATGTTTTTAAATGTCATAGGTTATTTCCTTGGCACCTTTTGACATCAGCCATTGTCTCTTCTAATTCCCTATGTTCTATCTGTTTTCAAAATTTGCACTTATCATTTATCTCTCTATTGTTTTCTCTGAAATGTGTAATAAGATGTATAGTCTCCAAAACCAGATGAGTCAAAAGATGTCCCTCTATCATTAAACACAGTGCATTGCACTCTATTTTTCTTTAGTTATGGGGTATTCTATAAGAAAATGCTTAAATCAATTATGCTTCATTATATACACTAAAAACAGCTTTCTCTTTTAAGCTGCTACACATTTTGATGATAAGATGTTGGTTTTTTACTAGTATTATTCTTGAACACACATCTCTGAATGAAACCGTGAATTTTACCTTTTTTACTTTTCTCAATTGGTTCCCCAAATATAACAAACTCAGTTAATTTCTAGTTGCTAGAAGGTCTGGAACTTGGGAAACCAAGTGCTGCTATTTCATTTCTTGTGCTTCTCTGAAAAGCCTAAGGTTTAAAAATATAATAACAACCTTGGCTAATGGAAGCTGTCCTTTGACTCAAACATCTATTTCAGCACTTAAGATTAACAGGCATCATATTTATATACTTAGGATGTACACTCCTAAATTAGGAATAAACTATACCCTATGGTGTGGATTCAAATTAGATATTCAAATTAGTAGTTTTATAGTTTTGCATACTTTACCATGTATAATTTTAAGTGACATAAATATGCTTAAATGGTTGTGTTTGAAGGTTAAGCTACCACATTAAAATTTCTTTATTTTTCATGTTCTTATAGTAATCAACTGATTCTAATTTTACTCGGTATATTAACCTAAAAACATTCTGATTTTTCTTTGCCTTAATATTTTAGTGATTCTTACCCCCACGATGCTTTTATAAATGGGTATACACAAAGGTCACACCATTTTTTGGAGGGCTTGTGATTTATTTTTAAAATAGAGAACAACTATACAGGAGGATAAAAAAGGAAAAAGTTGGGATCAGGGAAACATCTTTAATTGTAACAACATGATCAGAGCTGTAATGCTGTCGCTTTGGGTTTCTAGCTATCACTACCTGTTTGTTCTTGTGGTCATGTTCTGATTTGTTCCCAGAACCTATTGTTGGAAAATTATCTATCCCTAAGGAGATTTGGATCTGAGAACTATGTCTCTGAACATTGATAATCACCTCTGCTAATTATTAAGACAGTGTATTTGTTTTCTATGGCTGCTATAACAAGTTACCACAAATGTAGTGTCTTAAAACAACACAGATTTATTATGTTATGTTTCCGGAAGGCAGAAGTTCAAAATGAGATTCACTGGGTTAAAAATCAATGTGCCAGTAGGGCTGTGTTCCTTCTAGAGGCTGCAGAGGAGAATTTGTTTCCTTGCCTTTTCCAGCTCCTAGAAGCCACCCACGCTGTCTTTGGTTCATGATCCCCCTTCTCCATCTTCAAAGCCAGGAATGTCAGGCCGAGTTCTTCTCATGCTGCCATTTCTCTGGTTCTTTCTTCCAACCCCCACTTGCACTTTTAAGAATATATGTAATGACAGTGGCCCACCTAGAATAACACAGGATAATCTTTCCATCTGAGGTAGCTGGTTAGCAACATTAATTCCATCTGAAATTCTAACTCCGCTTTGCCATTGTCTTAGCCATTTCAGGCTGCTATTACAAGAAACCTTAGACCTGTAATTTATAAACAATAAGAAATTTATTGTTCATAGTTCTGGAGGCTGGAAAGTCCAAGGTCAAGGCCCCAGCAGCTTCAGTGTCTGCTGAGGGCTGGTTTCTCATAGATGGCACTTTCGATGTGACCTCATATGATCTCACATGATGGAAGGGGTAAACAGGCCCCTTCAAGCCTCTTTTATAAGGGTATTAGTCCCATTCATGAGGGTGGAGTTCTTATTACCTAATCATCTGTCTAATGTCCCCCACCCTCAATACCATCACCTTAGAAGTTAGGTTTCAACATATGAATTTTGAAGAGGCACCAGCATTCAGACCATAGCAGCCATGTAACCTAACATGCAGGTCCTTGGGTTAGGACATGGACATCTTTGGGGAGCCATTATTCTGCCTACCACAAGCAGTAAACAATTACCTAGCATTATTTTCACAACATCAGCTGTGATGCTCCCTGGAAAGCAATGTACATCTCATGGGACACCTGACTCTGGCAACCCTCTTAATCATTAACAATTAGCACAGAAATATGTGCTCATGAGGAGAGGCATCCTCCCTGCCACTGCAACACTTTTGCCATTGAGCTGCCCCATGGGAACCTCAGCATCATGACATGATGCTGACTCACATGAGAAGTTGGGGGTATCATGAAAGTCTGAAAACCAGAGAAGAGGATCTTCAGGAAGAGCAAGAGCTCAGTACCCGTGCCTCCCATTTTCAGAAGCTACCTGGAAACTAGTGACTCTCCCAATAGATAATACCTAAAATCCCACTGTACTCATTAGCGTAAAGACAAAGCAAATGTAAGAGGTTTTTTCCTAAGATAGAAGTTTAGATCTCTCTGACAAAACAGTGCACCCAATCTCAGCTGATAGGAAAATTCTGATCACGATACCACTCATCAGCCCAGACTCATGCCAAGCTGATGTTGCTACATCATCATTGTCCTCATCTGCTTGGTTACAGTGGGGTTGCCTCCAAATCTGTTTCCACCCCACAGGAATAATAAACAGAGGAAGTTTATAGTGAACAATTTCTTTTTCAGTAAATGAGGCAGTGGTTGCACAAATCACCTCCCTTTATATTCAAGACTTCATCACATGGACACACCCAGCTGTAAGAGAGACAGAGAAACATAGTCTCTAGCTAGGCAGCCATGTGTACTGGAAGAAGAGAAGACAGGATTTAGGTAACAGCCAACACTGCGTCACACACCATTCCTAAGATTTAGCAAAATTACCTGAAGTACTAAGTTTCTTATTACTATACATATTGAGTTGCCCAGGGTTTGTTATTTTGCTTGTAGTGGTCTGCACTGTCATTCCTACAGATATCCAAACACCAGCCTACCTGTGTCTTCCTAACACTCCATAATTAGTCACCTTCCTGACTCGGAAATTGCTCCAGCCTGCCTGGACTTTTTCTCCTATCCAATAAAAGCAAACATTCTCTGAAGTTCAATCCTTGCACAACTTCTCTTCCTACCTGTTCTGTCTCTGAGATCTCATCCATTCTCATTGATTCTTTTATCACCTACTTGAGGGTGAGGTTATTTTTATACCTAAAGAGACCAAGTGAGTGCCTTTAATCTTCACAACATCCTAAGAGATAAGTAATATTCTCATTTTCCAGTTGGGTCCACTGAGGCTCACAGATGAAGTTGACTACCAAGGACACGTAGGTCCTAAATATCTATAAAATAAAATGATGGAGTTTAAAACATGTCTCTCTACCTTTAGTTTACTAGAGATGATGAAGGTACTCTGGAGAAAAATATACCTCAGAAAACAGGCCAAAAGGAAAAAGATTCTGAGGAAGAACAAATTGATACCAAGTGACTGGCAAATAGGGAAAAAAAAAAAAGAGAGAGAGATGAAAGAATGTCTGCAGCCGGGCGTTGTGGCCCATGCCTGTAATCCCAGCACTTTAGAAGGCCAAGGCAGGTGGATCACTTGAGGTCAGGAGTTGAGACCAGCCTGGCCAACATGGTGAGACCCCATCTCTACTAAAAATACAAAAATTAGCCAGGCGTTGGTGGCACGTGCCTGTAATCCCAGCTACTCAGGAGGCTGAGGCAGGAGAATCACTTGAATCTGGGAGGCAGAGGTTGCAGTGAGCCGAGATCACACCACGGCCCTCCAGCCTGGGTGACAGAGCGAGACTCTGTCTCGAAAAAAGAAAGAAAGAAATGTCTGCAAGTATGATATTTTCCACTAGATGATGATTCCAGGCCTTCTGAAGAGGAAATAGCATGTACGGCAGGACACTCTCTTGCTACATGTAGGTGAGAAGCTGCCAGCACTGCTGGACCCCATCTAAGTGTGTTAAATCTTTAAGAAGCAGACAATGCAGTCAAAGGAAACAGAGAATGCAGGTATGCCTGATGATGCCAGCATCCTTGGTGGACACCTGAAGGGACTAGGAGGAAATGGCAGTTTCCCATTCAGAACTTCCCAGTCAGAACTCATGCTATGGAAGAAAAGGGGTCTAGCAGAAGCGAACAATGGCCTCCAGCAACTCACTAAACCACACTGGCCTTAGGTTCTTTTTTTTCTTTTTTATACTTTAAGTTCTAGGGTACATGTGCACAACGTGCAGGTTTGTTACATATGTATACATGTGCCATGTTGGTGTGCTGCACCCATTAACTCGTCATTTACATTAAGCATATCTCCTAATGCTATCCCCCCACCTCCCCCAACCCCACAACAGGCCCCAGTGTGTGATGTTCCCCGCCCTGTGTCCAAGTGTTCTCATTTTTCAATTCCCAACTATGAGTGAGAACATGCAGTGTTTAGTTTTTTGTCCTTGCGATAGTTTGCTGAGAATGATGGTTTCCAGCTTCATCCATGTCCCTACAAAGGACATGAACTCATCCTTTTTTATGGCTGCATAGTATTCCATGGTGTATATATGCCACATTTTCTTAATCCCGTCCATCATTGATGGATACTTGGGTTAGTTCCAAGTCTTTGCTATTGTGAATAGTGCCACTATAAACATACGTGTGCATGTGTCTTTATAGTAGCATGATTTATAATCCTTTGGGTATATCCCCAGTAATGGGATGGCTGGGTCAAATGGTATTTCTAGTTCTAGATCCTTGAGGAATCACCACACTGTCTTCCACAATGGCTGAACTAGTTTACAGTCCCACAAACAGTGTAAAAGTGTTCCTATTTCTCCACATCCTCTCCAGCACCTGTTGTTTCCTGACTTTTTAATGATCGCCATTCTAACTGGTGTGAGATGGTGTCTCATTGTGGTTTTGATTTGCATTCCTCTGATGGCGAGTGATGATGAGCATTTTTTCACATGTCTGTTGGCTTCATAAACGTCTTCTTTTGAGAAGCATCTGTTCTTTACCTCCAAAGACTAAACCAGGAAGAAGTTGAATCTCTGAATAGACCAATAACAGGCTCTGAAATTGAGGCAATAGTTAATAGCTTACCAACCAAAAAAAGTCCTGGACCAGACAGATTCACAGCCGAATTCTACCAGAGCTACAAAGAGGAGCTGGTACCATTCCTTCTGAAAGTGTTCCAATCAATAGAAAAAGAGGGAATCCTCCCTAACTCATTTTATGAGGCCAGCATCATCCTGATACCAAAGCCTGGCAGAGACACAACAAAAAAAGAGAATTTTAGACCAATATCCCTGATGAACATCGATGCGAAAATCCTCAATAAACTACTGACAAACTGAATCCAGCAGCACATCAAAAAGCTTATCCACCATGATCAAGTGGGCTTCATCCCTGGGATGCAAGGCTGCTTCAACATAGGCCTTAGGTTCTTAACTACAAAATGAGGCCAAACATGTACCTAGGCTTTGAAGTCCATTGCGCTCTGGGAGTCTGTAGATCTTCAGTCCAAAACGAGTAGGACGTTTGTCTGAACCCTGGTGTATGATGATTCATGATAAGGGACAAAAATCAGACTCAAAAAGGTTAAGATGCTGATCAAGAGAACAATAGCTGACATGTTGAAGTAGGGGCAGGGCATGAGGGGAAATAAGGGAATACCTAAATCCAACCACAGCCCAGTAAACTGGTGTGACCTTGAATATCAGAGGGATCATGCACGAAAAACATAAAAGGAAGAGCAAAACGAGCTGAAGAACAGAACATTGTTTTAAGAATATTGTCAAGATGAATAAATCCAATGCTCTTTAGTATCCTAAAATAGACTAAATGCAACTAAAGAAAACCACATGGAGGCTGACCCACCTGAGTGCAAGTATCAGCATTGGCTGGAATCTTCTCACTACCATAGATCACCCTCCCACCATCAGAGCATCTAGGGTATCAAGCACAGCCTCATACCACTGAATAATGTGCATTTGCCTGCTATTCATCCTTTATTGGGAACCAGCCCCAGAGCTGAGATACTTCTTCCCCAATTTGAGTCCCAGCTCTCCTAGTTTCCTCTCCTTCTCCATCACGCTCACATTACATGATGTGAAAACAAGAAGGAAATTTCCTACAGTAAAAGTTACCCAGAAAATGAAATTTTCTCCCTCGTAGGGCAGCCAGCTCCCATATCATTGGAGATGCCCACGGAGGACACTGAGTGGAAGAATGGGCTCCCTGTGACAACACAGTGGTGGATACCACTTACTGAGCACAGTCTTCTTGTGTATCACTTAATACACATCAACACTACCTCTCCAAAGCTAGTGCTATTATCTCCATTTTACAGATAAAATCAAAACTAAAAAAGGTTACTAGCTTTACCCAGCAAGGAAAGTTATCTAGCTTAACAACATGCCCCTGAGAGCCTAGCTCCCAAGCCACACAGCTCCTTGCACCCTCACACAAATACACACAACAGCCTATGGGAGCCCAGGAGAGGCTCTCCCCAGGCTGGCATCATTCCAAGGCTCAAGAATGAGTGCCAATGGTTGTTTAAACGACAAGATTATTTTCAATGGAGATGTTACCACAAGAAAGCAAACTCCTATCTAAGGGCTTGCATTTTCACCTTCTGCATGCCTATGGACACCAAAATAAAGCAAACGAGACTTTGTTTTTAACATTTATTTAAGGTCTGCCTGTGCCAGATATTTCATGCACATTTTTCTCATTACTGGTTGATAACCCCATGAAGCAATCGGGGCTGAAAGCAGAAGCCACTGCTGAAAATTACCCAGAACACCCCGAGGCTCCATGCCTGCCTCCCTGGCCCCAATGCACATGGTGTTTCCACCACTCTGTGCTGCCCGGGAACTACATACGAACCCTTGCAGAATTTGTTTTTCAGGAATTTGGAAAATATCAAGGTTGAATCTGCCTCTTTTCTGAGCTCTTTATTTCCCCATCTAAACATTTCCTCTACAGCATCTTTCCTTTCACTGGCCAAAATATGGTCTTGAAATTTATTCTATCGCTAGTCATATGTATTGAGTAAAGTGCTGCATCCAGTTATAAAGGAGAGCCCTTAATTTTAAAAGCAGACAATAGAGTATTTTATCCTTCTCTTATTTTCTTTTTTTTTTTTTTTTTTTGAGACGGAGTCTCGCTCTGTCGCCCAGGCCGGACTGCGGACTGCAGTGGCGCAATCTCGGCTCACTGCAAGCTCCGCCTCCCGGGTTCACGCCATTCTCCTGCCTCAGCCTCCCGAGTAGCTGGGACTACAGGCGCCCGCCACCGCGCCCGGCTAATTTTTTGTATTTTTAGTAGAGACGGGGTTTCACCTTGTTAGCCAGGATGGTCTCGATCTCCTGACCTCATGATCCACCCGCCTCGGCCTCCCAAAGTGCTGGGATTACAGGCGTGAGCCACCGCGCCCGGCCCCTTCTCTTATTTTCAAAGAGCAAAATTTAAATTCTTTTTTTTTTTTTTTTGGCTTTCCTTTAAAAGTGTTGGATATTTGTTTCCCCACCGCAGCCCCCTGGATTGAAGGAGTTACTCTTTGAAGGCAACAAGCCTGTAGGCTGAGTTAATGATTAGACCCACATCCTTGCCCAAAAGGAAACTAAATCAGAACAAGATCAACCAGAGAAGGCTGAAGAAAATTAATAGGTGGCCAAAAACCTTATAAAAAGAAAACATGGGAAGTTTGCTGCAGAAAGGCAGCCTCTGGCAGCCACTGTCAGAGTGGGAAGAAACACAAAATATCCTGTCCCTCCCCTTTCTTTGTCGAAGTGCTCATTTGTCCTTTCTCCGCTATTTCATAAGCATTTACATCAATTTTCACAGGCTTTCAGCTCCAATTTAGATGGTAGTTCCTCAACAACAGAATGAAGATCTCCAATGTCTTCTTCATCCTTCCACAGCACTCTGTACACAAGGTGGTTTTCAATAAATATTTTCAGGCCAGGCACGGTGGTGATGCACACCTGTAGTCCCAGCTACTTAGGCTGATGCAGGAGGAAACTTGAGCCCAGGAGTTCCAGGCTTCAGTGAGCGATGATCACACCACTGCACTCCAGCTAGGGTGGCAGACTGAGACCCTGAATCTAAAAATAAAAATTAAAAAATAAAAAATAGAGTCAATAAATATTTTCGAACTCAGATATAAGAAGTATGAGTAAAAATCCTTGGATGAAATATGCAATTTTTTTCTTTCTTCTAAAGTCCAGACAGAAAATAACTGTCTGTTGGTTTCAATTCTGAGCTGAGCTCAGCTGAGGATGCTGACTGCATGGCCCCACTGCGTAGGAGGCACTCCAGACCTGGGTGTCCCTCTCAGGTGCTTAAGACCTAGCTCCCACCACCTCCCCTACAAAGAGGCCAACAACAGTGCATGTCCTTTTAAGCCTAGAGTGCGTTTTCTCAAAGCTGCATATCTTGTCAAAATTGTTTGCCCACATCACTGCAATCTGTGTGCAGGGAAGCCTGAAACAAGTCCGTGTTGGGAAAGCAACAGAAAGTACAAGAGGTTCTGAAATTCATAAGCCTGGGAAAGCAGTGATTCAGAGAGAAACTGCTCTTCTCGGTTCTTCCAAATTGAAAAGCACTCGAGGCAAAAGAGCAGCTGCTGCCTCTCTGGGCTGGTTGGTATTGACCTTACTTGACCTTTTACCTGCTGTTTGATTTGGGCCTCCAGCTAGACCAGGAAAGTACAGCTCCCCGTTCCTGGCACCCCCATGACCAAGTTTGCCTTACACATCTCTCCTCCTTTCCGCAGGAGTACACCCGGGAAGCCACATGGCAGAGAGACAGCCAGGAAGTCAGGTGAGAGGAGTTGCTTTACCAAAGAGTTAACCCCAAAGCAGTTATCCCAGCCCTACTTCCTTTCCCATTCCACTAATCTGCTCGCTTCTCATCCTTTACATTTTATAGTCTTCAGTTCCAATTACAGGTGATTAATAATTAAGTGATTGTTAATTCTTTTCTACCTTCTGGAAGTCATGATAATTTGAACAATGATGATACAGTCATAGCCTGAAAGAGAAGGAGGGAAGAATATCACAGAGTTTTCTTTCCTGTGTAAAAGTGATAGTATCTGCAAATGAAATGGGTGTTTATTCATGGTCTTAAGTCTATAAACATTTTATTTTATTTCAAATTGCTTTTTCTTCCTTATTTCTCAGGTTCCCTCCATATTCTCAAACCACTGGGAGGAGAAAAAAATCAACATTGCCATTGAGGGGTTGTGAGCTTCCTTAACTCCAGCTATTCAACTTACATATTTACTTGTCAGTAAATTCAAATTCAAATAAGCCTATAGTTACTGGGTAGAAGAAAGTGTGCCCCATCACTCAAAGTACTCATGATGTGTGAAACATTTTAAAGACCAATTGAGCTAATATATGTTTTCACTTTGACCCAGAGTAAGTTGAGCCAGTCATTAATGGATGACATGCGGTTAAAGCCAACCCAAAAGATCTGAGTCAAAGAATGTTCTTCTTTGACGTTGCTCTTGACTTCTCAGAGTTTGTATAACTAAATCCTTCATGAAAAACAGTGACTCTGCATGATGTGTATGTATGTACAGCCACGTGAAGAGTGCCAAGAATATTCCTATTTTAAAACAATTCTAAGAACTGGCAAGTAGAGAAACCTTCACTAACCATCTCCACCCCACACCAATTACTCTCTTTGTATTCCTTCAAAGTCATTTGAACTACATTATCCTATTTGTATTGGCTGCTCCATTTTCCCTAACATAAGTTTTATATATACAGCTGGATTTTAAGCCCCTTAAAGAGGAGCCCTTTCTTTACGGTAGACACTCAACAGACACTTGGGAATATACAAGTGAACAAATGCCTAATTCAGACAAAGTCCCATTTATAAGGACTAATGAAGCTTTCTTTCTCCTACCTACCTCCTTCCCTCCTACCAACAATGTTCTTTGGAATTCCAAGGTTCTGCAAGCCTGGGAGAATGTGTTTGTGCAGACATCCAAGTTCACTCCATAGCAGGGATCTAGGCAAGGATCAGGTAAACCTGAAGGGCACCCTCCTTCACCCTTCTTCTTGGCATGTGTTGACTAATTAGTGGTCAGTAACAAATGAATGCCTAGCTTGGATCCCTTTTGTAAATACTGTTACCACTGTGTAAAGCTTGCAGCACTTCGGAACTGACAAATGGATGATGATGTTTGTGAGCAAATAGATATTGTACTATTAATGATATAACTTGGAAACAAATATTTTCTATTAGTTCTCTTAAGCTCCCCAGTCAGTTTCATTGAAGAGTATTCTGAGATTGCAAAACAAACCACTTCTGTGTAAACCAATATTTTCTTGATACAGTATGGAGCAAGCAAAATAAAAAGGCAGAAATAAATTGGATTTTGCTATACGGCTGCCACTGTCACTCAGAGTCCTGGCTTTCAGATTTTTGATTTGTCACATAACAGCTTTATTGTTATCATTGACTAGCTGTAAAATAAGGAAAACATTAATTTAAATATTTTTAGCTGTATATTCAAGTTTTGTCGAAGATTTTATTTTTTTAACATCACTTTTTTAAAAAAAAATTAAACTGCTAGAATAAACCATCAATAGTGAAGGCAACGAGATCTCTCTCAGGAACTCACAGTGTTTTTAAGCAATCCACACATTTCATTTATTTATAGTCATTCAACAAATATTTTCCAGCACCTAAACAATGCCTGATGCAGCTCTAAATGCTGGGAAAATAACTGTGAATACGAGAATCAAATTCCTGACTGTGTTCTAGAGAACTGATACAGGTTATACAGTATTTGCTTTCTAACTTCTTTTTTTTTTTTTTTTTTTTTTGAGATGGAGTCTCACTCTGTCGCCCAGGCAGGAGTGCAGTGGCGTGATCTCGGCTCAGTGCAAGCTCCACCTCCTGGGTTCACACCATTCTCCTGCCTCAGCCTCCCGAGTACCTGGGACTACAGGCGCCCACCACCACGCCCAGCTAATTTTTTGTATTTTTAGTACAGACGGTGTTTCACCGTGTTAGCCAGGATGGTTTCGATCTCCTGACCTTGTGATCCGCCCACCTTAGCCTCCCAAAGTGCTGGGATTACAGGCGTGAGCCACCGCACCCAGCCTTGCTTTATAACTTCTTAAAATAACTGTGGTGAGGATGTTTTGTCCTATATTTCAGCGTGCCAGGGAATACTGAGAAAATGAACTTTGTGAGCTGAAATATTACACAAATTAATTTACTCATTCATAAAAGACCACATGAATTATAATATGACTCATGCAGATGAAAGCTTCTCTTGCTAAGGTAAATGTTCCCAGTCCCTTCCCCCATTCTTCACAAAATCTAGTTTCCAGGCCCCTCACAAGCCTGTTTCCGTCTTCCTGGTGCTTTCTGGTTTTGTTTTGTTTTGTTTTTTTTTGAGACGAAGTCTTGCTCTGTCACCCAGGCTGGAGTGCAGTGGCGCTATCTCGGCTCACTGCAACCTCCGCCTCCTGGGTTTGTGCCATTCTCCTGCCTCAGCCTCCCGAGTAGCTGGGACTACAGGTGCCCGCCACCACTCCCGGCTAATTTTTTGTATTTTTAGTAGAGACAGGGTTTCACCATGTTAGCCAGGATGGTCTCGATCTCCTGACCTCATGATCCACCCCCCTCGGTCTCCCAAAGTGCTGGGATTACAGGCATGAGCCACTGTGCCCGGCCACTTTCTGGTTTGTTTATGGCCATGTGTAAGATGGCTGACAGTACTAGGGGAAAAACTCCAGAACTAGTTTAAGCATTTATTGCAGGAGCCACAAGTAACTATATCTCAATCCAGATAAATCTAGAACAATGGCTTTTTTCCTTATTCTGTCCATTGCTATTGGCTGGATGAATCACATGATGGCAAAATTCTGGAATCTGATGTTCTCTGACTGGGCAAGGGAGAATGGCATTGCCCGACCGGTGCTGCAGACCATGAAAGAAAGCTGGCATTTTTTCATTCTTCTCTGAAGTGCAGAATGCACAGAGGCCTAATCATTCGATTCAATTCAGTCACCCAGCAAATATAACATTAATATAACACTGATATAATATAACATTAATAACTCTTAAATACGAAACTGAGCCTGGATTCTGTTGTCAAGAAACTTACATGTAGTAGCATAGTTTACAGAGTCTGCTGAGATGTTAGTCATGAACCTACATAATAAAAACCAGACAGAAAGGTCAGGGGCCAGCCCAGTGCCATGAGGAAACAGGATAGAAGACCAGTCTCTAGCAAGGACTCTGGACCAGAACCCTGGGTTTTGAGCTGTGTGCAGGGCGAGTTGTTTAACGTGTTAGAGCCTGATACCTCATGTGAAAAATCCAGATGACAAAACAATGCTTTTCTTTTTCGTGTGTTTGTTTGTTTGTTTGTTTGTTTATTATACTTTAAGTTCTAAGGTACATGTGCACAACGTGCAGGTTTGTTACATATGTATACATGTGCCATGTTGGTGTGCTGCACCCATTAACTCATCTTTTACATTAGGTATATCTCCTAATGCTATCCCTCCCCCTTCTCCTGACCCCACAGCAGGCCCTTGTGTGTGATGTTCCCCACCCTGTGTCCAAGTGTTCTCATTGTTCAGTTCCCACCTAGAGTGAGAACATGCAGTGTTTGGTTTTCTGTCCTTTCTATAGTTTGCTGAGAATGATGGTTTCCAGCTTCATGCATGTCCCTACAAAGGACATGAACTCATCCTTTTTTATGGCTGCATAGTATTCCATGGTGTATATGTGCCACATTTTCTTAATCCAGTCTATCACTGATGGACATTTGGGTTGGTTCCAAGTCTCTGCTATTGTGAATAGTGCTGCAATAAACATACGTGTGTATGATGTGTCTTTATAGCAGCATGATTTATAATCCTTTGGGCATATACCCAATAATGGGATGGCTTTTCTCATAAGGCTGTGTGAGAGTTAAATGAATGAGAACAGACACCGTGCCTGGCACAAAGCCCTCATGAAATGGTGGCTGTGAGTCCTGGGATGCATCAGGCAGCTGCCTGGGCACTCTAGACTCAGGGTGTTGGCCCCGAGGAAGCCACTGTTTCCTCATTCCTGTCCACGTGACTTTCCCCAAACAAACATTGAGAAGCACACTAAATGGTGGGAGGGACAGTAAAAATATTTACTAATGGTCCCAAGCACTAGGTTCACACTAAAAGGTTGACATTTTATTTCTTTTCCTCAGTCACCAGTACCAGTGTATCAATTAAAGGGAGAAACTAGCTCCAGCTACTGGACTGTCTCAGGGCCCATGTGGTCTTTGTCTGTTTTACAAATTCCCCCAAATTCTTTTTGAAAATGGATGAGACTATAATTCATTTTTAATGTGAAGAAGAATTGAGAGAAATGCTGAAGTCTCTTAGGTGACATAAAAATTGAAAATGTTCCATAAAAAGGATCCACTTAAATGTCTGACTTGTAAAAGTAAATGTCGTTTTAAAATTTTTCATTTGTCACACTCCATAAGGTGTCTGTCTCCTGCCTGCCATGCTGCTGCAGGTCCCTCCCTGTGATGGCTGCAGTGCGGGGAGACCGTGGCTAATGGTGCTTCGGACGGTGTGCTGCTGCCTGTGGACAAATCTGCCTCACCCCTCAACTCCACTTCCAGTTCCCCAAACTGGCTACTCCAAGAAGTTTCCGTCCACCTGCTGCACATTGTAGCTACCAAGAGAGGGACGTGGCCAAGGTCACGCGGTCAGGTAGAAGCAGAGCGAGCACCAGACTCCTTTCTCCTGAGGACTCCTAGTCCGGTGCTCACTCCACTCAACCAGGCTTGCATCAAGATGCACCAGAGACAATGCCCCGGCGCTGACTTTTAGCACATAAGTCTTAGGTCAAAATCCTGAAAAACTTCTCAGAGATGGAAATCTTTTGGCCCCAGAACCTCTAAGAGTTCTGTGCAAGTATCCTTCACTCTGCAACTCCAACAGGACTCAGCCACAGACTCCTGAATTAGTGCCAAGCCCGCATGGCCAGAATACCTGTGGGAGCCAGCCCTGCCCTGGTGACAACAGCCGACTTCTTGCTCCTTCAGGCCGACCAGCTCTCTTGGAATTTCAGGAACCACCAACCCCAGGAGCGCGTGAACAGGCTGCTGGCACGGCGCACCGTCCGCTGCTCCGAGGTTCATGTCCCACGCTGAGTTGTGTTCACTCAAGTGCTGCCAAAGTTCTTCAAAGTATTTGCATGAAACTCTTCGTAAAACAAACCTGAAAATCCATTACCAGCAGTCACCAAATGCTGGCGCCTTGACGAATGGCCAAACTGCCAGCATCCGGGAAATGCCCTGTGCTGACAAGTGACTTGCAAAGGAGCCATTTATTTAGATGAGGCATGCACCCACCACGGCAGAGACACGTAGGGAAGTGCGAGGATCGATGAGGCTGCTAATTAAAGCAGAGGATCAATCCCCTGTGTTTAGAATGCGTTTGGAAATCCAGCGCTGTCGGCTCACTCAAGCTCTCTGAATCCATTATTGTAAAAAGGGTTCAAGGCTGCTGTAGACATCAGCTGACTAGGCCCCCTGCACCCCTGCTGGGAGCTGCACAGGGGACAGGCATTTGCTGAGGCATTGGCCAGAAAGGTTCTCGTGGCCCCACAGCTCATCCGCCCTGGCACTGAGGCGGTGACACCGCCCACCCTGAAACCCAAGAGGGGAACAGTTCGCCAAGTATCAGAATGCATTTATAAAAAATGAACTCTCCTGACAAAAATGCAGATGGAGATTTTAAAGCCATCACCTGAACAGATTAGGATGAAAAGTCACCTTAATAACAAAAATCTTTGGCAATTTGGGCTAAAATTCTGCAGAAACTCTGAAGGGGATTTTTTTAAAGATTTTTAATCATTTTTAATGAAAGCCACATCCCCCGCCCCTCACATTCACCTCTCCAGAAGACAGCCAAAGTAATGCCCTTAGCACATTTTAATATCATTTCGTATTTCTCCTTTCATTTACACTTTTAGTTTCAATGTTTTTATTGAAACAAAGAGTAGTCAGAAAACCTTTTGTTTCCAGGTTAATTCACAAACAAACTTTTGAACAACAGGGTTACAAATATAAAATATGCAGTATAGGTTTATATAAAATATATTTATATTAGTTGTTTAAATTGTGTGTATATATATATAAAACTATATATATAGGAATATATATATGTATTCCAATGTCTTTATAATATGAAGACACATATGTTTTCTATCACCTCTGAAGAAAAGTTAGGAAAGTCCAGAGGAATGAGATATATTCCCACCCTTTAATCTTCATATTAGTAGATGGGTTTGGGTAGTTAAGAGTTTGTAGAACATAAACCTACGCTCCCCACCTGCTCCTGCAGGCGAAAGTGTACTTAGCTCTCAGGCACAGTCTTCCCTTTATGGTAAAAAGGGTGTTTTATACCGTGTTGATGACTAATATTTCAAGTACATTTTGCAGACTCATTTTCCCAGCATTCTGTTGTTTCAGCTGTACCATTCATGCCACAATATTTTTATAGGCTCTGAGGCTGAAAAACATTCTCATCCAGGCAGGATGTATGAACCTCTTAGCTTTCTGATCTAAAAGCAGCATTTCAGGTTATCCTCCTGCAAAAGAAAACCACAGTCCTTATGCTGGCAGGTGAATGGGAGAGTGGAGATTTGAACAAGGATATGAAATATAGGTAATACTTCCATAGCACCTTATGGTGCAGCATATGTGCAACAGCTGCCTTTCTGCTCTGCTGAGATTCAATCAGTTTTTCCTACCTGGGGGTGGGGCACGGGGAGGCTTCCAGGAGAATCACAGGTAATACACAAGGAGCCCACATCCCTGTAAGGTGGCCATATTGCACATTAAGCATGGTGGACAAAAAGAGCAGGAGGTCTGGAATTAGCGACTTGAACTTGAACCCCAGTTCTGCTACCTACTACCGGTGCAGCCTAAGGCAGGTTACTTACATTCAAGTAGCTATAGCTTTCCAAAGTTACAGAATGGAGATAATGGCAGTTTTGAATCCTGGCTTTACCTGTTACATAATCTTGGACAAGTTTCTTAGCCTCTCCATATTTCAATATCCTATCCTGTAACATAGAAGTCTTCACAGTTCTTATCTTATAGGTGAGGAAAATGGTTAAGAAAGGTAAAGCTCTTAGTGCCGGCATGTTAAAACGGTGTTTCCAATGGTTTAGAAAATTGAAGCTGGAGAATATCCTCTAGGACAAGACGAAGAGAGATTAGAAAGAACAGAATTGGGACAAAGAGGGGAAACACTGAGCAAACACTGACGCCCTAAACCTTGAAAATGTTTGGACATAACTGGCTTCTGCAGAGTCCGAGCCTGTCACCCTGAATGAGATCTGCCAGTTAGAACAACTGGGTTCCCAGTACTTGACAACTGCTTCAGTTACAGTGTTTCTGCAATTGCTTCACTCACAGCTCTTTGAGAAACCCAGATGAATCTGTAGACATTGATCTAGAGAAACGGAGGAGAGAGAACTGGCTGAGATTGAGTGCTTACAAAAAAAAAATAATTTTAAAATTAATCATAGCATCAGAAAGAATATCCTAATTTTTATTAGCTGCCAGAAAGTTCACTAATAAGAACAATCCAGGAACTAATCAGGGGATATAAAGGCTATATTAGTATGTGACCATAAGAGCTATTAAGGCTCAGAGTCTAAGACCTCCTCTTAAATGGCTAAAATCCTCTATTTCGCTAAATTTTGAAGGGAGAACCAGGGAAAACCCAGAGAAACACAAGGCACCCCCATCTTGTTGATGCTCTCTGATCTCATCTGTGAGAAGGGAATATAGCACCGATAGCTAACTCTGCTAAAGAGACGAGCTCTCTGGGCAGTGGCCAAAGATTCCAATCTAAAAGGGACACAAAATCTCCCCGATATTTGCCAATCTCTGAAAATAAAATGGGAGGAGAAACATAGACACATAACTCCTTTCATAAACAGTGTCACATTTAGTTGAAATACATTTGATAAACCTACGGCAGAGAATAATTGATATCTGACATCCATTCTCCTTCCTTCCATGTGACCAGGCTGGGAAGGCTACACTTTCTCAATGTAGTCATCTGACTAGGTTTTAGCCAATGGGATGTGAGCGGACGTGACACCTGCAGCTTCCAAATCATGCCCATAAAAAGAAGGGGAGTGGGCCGGGCGCGGTGGCTCACGCTTGTAATCCCAGCACTTTGGGAGGCCGAGGCGGGTGGATCACGAGGTCAGGAGATGGAGACCATCCTGGCTAACACGGTGAAACCCCGTCTCTACTAAAAAAATACAAAAAAATTAGCCGGGCGTGATGGCGGGCGCCTGTAGTCCCAGCTACTCGGGAGGCTGAGGCAGGAGAATGGCGTGAACCCGGGAGGCGGAGCTTGCAGTGAGCCGAGATTGCGCCACTGCACTCCCGCCTGGGCCACAGAGCAAGACTCCGTCTCAAAAAAAAAAAAAAAAAGAAGGGGAGTGGCATCTCCTTCCCGCTTTCCCTTTTCTCCTTCCCACTCGATGGAATGTGGCCATGGTAGGAAGCCATTGTGGACCATGAGGGAAAACCCGACATTAGGAATGGTATAGCAACAAGCTACAGCCGTCTGAATCCCTAATACCATAGAGACACCATACCAGTCCTGGAATGCTTACGAACTGGACTGTGAAAAATACACTTCCATCTTGCTATTGGGATCTCTGTGGCACTACCTTCACCTATGTTCTAACACAGTTATTTTTGGGGTACAGAAGTGGAGTGAGATTGTAAGAGGTATCTTTAAGTTATAGTAACTGGGCATAAACTATCTTCTAAATAGGGAAGGTCTAGGTAATACAAGATTTTGCTTTGCTCTTTTCAGCCAGGGCTGAATTGCAAAAACAATAAACGGATGGCTAAGCCTGTGCAACATCTTCCTTCTCAGCTCTTCCCACAGGCAGCGCCCAGCCTATTCTTTGTATAAATGTAACTAGATATTTGGAGATATGGACTTGAAGGTAGAGGCCCTGAGTACACATCTCAGTCTTGTCTTGCCTTCCAGGCAAAGTTGTTTTGAGATGTGAGATGTTTGTGAAGGCATTTAGGAGAGGGCTTGGCAAGTATTTAAGGTTCAGTAAATGCTAGCTTCCTTTCTTCTTAACAGTTTCCTCCTTCTGTGAAATTTGCAATAGAGGACCTTAGTCAGTATTCAAAATTGCTTTGGAAATTCCCTGTCTATAAATGCCTATCTTATAAAAGATAGAAACACAGCTCAAATCACCTGTGAATTACTGGGAGGCCAAGTAAAAATATTTTTCCCAATTAACAAAGTATACATGAGGCTTCCTGAAATTTTTGTTTGGAGACTAATGGGTAGAAAATTAATCCCATGCTAGGAAAGAAAAGTGCTCACTGGAGACTCTTAATTTAGTTATCTTACATTATTCTCAAAAAGTTTCTCCCTATAGGCTGGGCACGGTGGCTCACGCCTGTAATCCCAGCACTTTGGGAGGCAGAGGCGGGCGGATCACGAGGAGAGGAGATAGAGACTATCCTGGCTAACACAGTGAAAGCCCGTCTCTACTAAAAATACAAAAAATTAGCCGGGCGTGGTGGCGGACGCCTATAGTCCCAGCTACTCCGGAGGCTGAGGCAGGAGAATGGCGTGAACCTGGGAGGCGGAGCTTGCAGTGAGCTGAGGTTGAGCCACTGCACTCCAGCCTGGGGGACACAGCGAGACTCCGTCTCAGAAAAAAAAAAAAAAAGTTTCTTCCTGTAATGTAAGAAAGGAATAGTCTAGGTCAGTGAGCCCTAAAATCCAACCTGAAATGAAAGGAAAGAAAATATAACATAGAAAACTGCCTTTCATTCATTTTGAAAACCATCTTGCTGTAACTTCATTGATTCATCCATCGGTCTTCTCATGAGGACTCCCTTGATTCACCCAACAAACATTCGTGATCACTTCCTGGGACCCAGGCCCTTGTACCAAGCTCTGAGGATACCAAGACAAAGCCCTTGCCCTTGAAGAGTTTCAATCTCTTGGGCAGCAGGGCAGGGGGTGGAGTGGGGAGTCAGACCAGAAATAGGAACTGAGTGCAGCAGAGGTATGATGAGGGGCAGCCAATTCCTCCTCCCCAGGGAAGGGGACAACATTCCTGCTGCATCTGGAAGACTTGGAAGGACTTCGTGAAGGGCAAGAGGCATTCCTGACAGTGATCGATTACAGATCACTTACAGCATGGACATTGAAGAGGACTGGGGACAGAAAAATAGATTAGAAAACTATTAAAATCAAGGCAAGAATAAGGGCCTAGGTTAAAGAGGCGGTCATGTGGATGCTAAAGACAGAACTTAATGACAAATTAGATGTGAGAAGAAGGGGAATTGAGTGATAGCATGATGAGGAGGTTGTGTCCAAGGAATATGATATTAAGGATAGAGAAGATTTAAAGAAGTTTGTAGGCTGAGCACGAGGAACCAGGGCAGAGTGAGCGATTGATGATGCAAGAAGAAACTAGCTGATATAAAAAGATCTGGAGCGGGTAAGAATGGATGGTTGGGGGCTCTCACTTGACATCCATCTTTATCCTTTAGCAGGCACCAGCCTTGTGTTCCAAAATTTTTCTTTGGGCTGACTTTCACTCATAACAATAATAACAAAAACTAACCTAGATGAAAATCTAAAATGTTGAACACACCAGGTTGAAAAGTACTACCCCAGGAAATCTAGAAACTTTTGCCACCTTCTAACTGTGAGGTTATGACCCTGACTTTTCAAGCCAACACTATTTCCTACATCTGTCTAAGCTTATCTCTTCTTAGCATCATATATCACCTTAGAATTGAGCCTCACCCTCCACTCTTCCTTCTAGTATGGTAGGTAAAACACAGACTCTGAATTTGAACCCAAGTTTCATCACTTACTACTGGTGTGATTATGGGCAAATCATGTAATCCCATGGTGCCTCAGTTTCCTCATCTGTAGAACAGAGGCTCTTTCATGCTTTGAAGCTGGATTCCATTTTTAAAGCAATTCAGTTACAATTATGAAACACCTTTATTTCCTAAACCCCTGCAGGAGGAACAACTGTTTTGTGATTCAAAAATTCCGTTTCTTCTATTGAAACAACTTGGGTTTTCTTTAAGAATAGAACAAAATATTTATTTTTCATTGAGAAGTATTTTTTCAAAGACTAAAAGCAAATCTAATTCCATTGACTTGGTAGAAAAGTTATCCGTTGAAATCTTATTAAAATAATAATAATACAAAACCTACTTCCTGAAAATTTTATTCAACTCTCTTCTAGGGAAAGTCTTCTCTGAGTTCTGGATCTTATGATTGGCCTTATCAAGGTAATAGAACTTCTTCAGACCCTGAACTTATTGTATTTTTTTTTTTTTTTTTTTTTGAGACAGAGTCTCACTCTGTCACCCAAGCTGGAATGCAATGGCATGGTCTCGGCTCACTGCAACCTCCGCCTCCCGAGTTCAAGCAATTCTCCTGCCTCAGCCGCCTCAGTAGCTGGGACTACAGGCGTGTGCCACCACAACCAGCTAATTTTTGTATTTTTAGTACAGATGGGGTTTCACTGTGTTGGCCAGGCTGGTCTCGAACTCCTGACCTCATGATCCGCCTGCCTCGGCCTCCCATTTATTGTATTTTCAAATCTAAAGTGTCCTAATAAACTTTATGAAAAAACTAAAAATAAGATCTTACTCTCAACAGGGAAAATACTTGTGAATTGTCAATGTTTCCCATAAGCTGAAATAATTATTATTCAAATTGCAAGAAGAAATACATGAGATTAGCTGAAATAATTATTAAGTTCTAACACATATTTATCCTGTAACTTAGGATCAGACTTTCATGAACACACGAGTAGATTGGGCTAAAATAGAGGACAAAATATCTGATGTAAACTATTTTTAAAAGACAGGCACCTGACAGAGATTGTAATATTATTTGCATAAGAATAAAATGTAATTTTATAATTTTTGTTTTATGTGTAATTAAATATTATAATTAAATAGACCAAAAACATTTGATAGCACATATATATTTTAAGAAAAGCTATTTCCCCAAAGATATTCCACAGATATGTTTATTTTGCTAGAGAGAATGTGTATGTATATACACACACACACACACACACACACACACATATATATTCCTTTATATCAATAGTCAGATCTCTCCTGAGAAATAAGCTAATCGAGCTGAAACAGTTGTTTTTATATTGTAAATTTTCAAAAAAGCAAAAAGTAGTGAGGAGCCTCTTCTAGAAACAATATGACTCACACCCTATCTTTCTGAAAAAAGGCTGCAAGGTTGTTATGCTGAATAGGGGTCCCAAAGATATCCATGTACTAATCTTTGGAATCTTTGAATGTTACCTTATACGGCAAAAAGGGACTTGGCAGATATCATTAAGTTAAGGATCTTGAGATGGGGAGATGATTCTGGATCATCCCAATGAGCACAAAATGTAACCACAAGTATCTGTCTAAGAAGGGAAGGAAGAGGGAGACTTGACCACAGAAGAGAAGAGGACCATGTCACAGAAGCAGACAGAAGCAGAGGGCAGCACAGTCAAGAAAGAAGATATTATGCGGCTGGCTTTGAGGGCACGCAATGGGGCCATGAGCCAAAGAATACAAAAAATGCATCTCCAGACGCTGAAAAAGCCGAGGAAATGAAAACGGGTTTCCCCCTAGAGCATTCCCGGGAAGCATGGCTCTGCTAACACCTTAGCTTTAGCCCAGTGAAACTGATTCGGACTCCTGACCTCCAGAACTGTAAAAGAATATGTCTGTGTTGTTGCTAGTCACCAAATTTGTGTTAATTTGTGACAGTGGCAACAGGAAACTAATACAATTGTTTTTCTTCGTTCTGGTACCAGGAAGGTAAGTTATCATGCCCTCTACCTGGGAGGGGAAGAGGCAGAAATCCAGCTACTGCTCCTCTTTTATTTCTGAACCACAGAAAAGGGTCTGCTGAGAGGATTTGCCAGTGGTTTACCCCCAACCCAGGGCATCTCTAATTCTGAGATGGAGGGTTGTCCATCCTTCTCTAAATGAGAGCCAAAGAGGAGAGTCACATCTGCAAGGAAGAATGGGTTTATGGGGTTTTTTAATCAAAAGAAATTAAAATAATCATTTCACATTTTACATGGGATGAAAAGGTAATCAGACTAAGTTATGACTTCACTTTTTATTTGTCCAAGAAGCAGGAAAATTCAAGCTTAGTTTTAAGTACTAATAAAACCTACAGTGTAAGGAAGTGGGTTCTAAACACAACCCATAAAATAAGGATGTATTTAAAGTGCTGTTATTAGAGAATTGCCCTGCCCACAAACTTCCCCTCATGCATCCTGCAGCTGATTAAACTCTAAAGCAAAAGGAAGAAATTGTTTTATGAATTTTTTTCTTATGATTTGGTGTACACTAAGAGATGATACTACCCCAAAAAAAAGTCTGTTCCTGGAAAGAAAAAAAATAATAATTTAAATTTTTTCATGTGGTCCTAAGGCAACTGCAGAAAAAATGTCCTTCTTCCAGGAGTCTCTCTGGATGCCTTGAAGACAGGGCCAGAACACAAAATACTGGTGATTTCTGTCTTTTACAATACATCTTCTTCTTGGGCAGTAAGTAAATGGCACTTTCTGAGTTGCCATAAAGCATGGTTCATGTACCCAGATAAATACCTATGTCTGTCTGTCCCTGATTCCACCTGGAAGAAAGATACAACTTGGATTTGATGTATCATCACTTCAGCATCCCAGAGACTTTTAGTGGAAATTCCTTTTATACACTAATTATGTATTTCTCTATAATTGAAAATTAACAATGAAAAGGAGACTTAACTCTAAGAAACATCTGAATCCTATTTTCAATTTGATACGACAATATTGAGCCTCTACTGTGTGCAAAAAAATGTAAGCTAGATGGTGAACTTTGGGGCTGAAGCTCTATGATGAATGTGTCATAGCACCTGCCTTGAGTGAGCTTAAAAGCAATCTTTTCTAAAACATAGGAAGAAGTATGTAGTCCAGAATGTTCGGTGCAAACTTCAATTTTTCATGGATGCATTATGAGGCTGTTTTGTACATTTGTTGTTTTACCCATCTTTAGTCGTTATTTCTCCTTCTTCTACTAAAAGTTATGATGTAAGAGATTCACTTTTTCAGGTTCTTTCTAGATTCAAGTTCTAGGTATTCCCATATTTTAATTGTTCCAGACTCACTCTGTTTTAGTATCAAAAATAATTGAGGGCTATGCTATATTTTTGAGATGTGTTGAAAAGATGTTTTAAATTTTTGAGATCATGGTTCAAAAGTTATATATAACAAGAAATAGAAATCAAATACATATATATTTTCCTCAAATGCAATAAGAATAATCCCAACCAATATTCTGCTTTAAAAAAACATACAGAGAAATTACAGAGAATACATCCCTTTCCAGTGGGTACCAATAGCCAGGTGAGTGCATTTTTTGTAGTTTATCAGTCTTGTCCGGTGGTTGAAAACCACATCCTCAATTTCAAAATCCAACCACAATCCCATTAGGTCTTTAAAAAGTTTCAACTAGACTACCCTCTTGGGACACCTTGACATAGAAATGCACTATCTTTTCTTCTGTTTGCCTTAAACTGGATTCCAGGTTTTTTCAGTATTCTTTCCTTCTGATGAGTCTGAATAACCTGTTCCTCAACTCCAAGTCTTCTCTCAGGCCTTGCTCTCTTTCTTTCCCCACCTCCTTTGCTCCTCTCCCCAGCCTCATTAGAAGGCAGCACCTCTTTCACCCCGTTCTTACTTGACTTGTTGCTTGTGCTACATAGGCAGTTTGTGACAAAGCCAGGTCTAGACTGTGTCTCCAAGGCTCCATGCCTGTCTGATAGCCAAATAGATCTCCTGCCTTTAAAATAGGTTGTCTACTCAAATGTAGTCTTTCTTGGTTCTTTACATTTTGAGAACACATAGAGAAAACTGATAAATCCTCAGGCTCCTATGGTGGTGAAAAAGCCAAGGTTAAAGTTTTTATTTTATATTATTTGTCACCAACTGCTCCTGGCAACAGAGGAAAAATATGTCAAGCTTTTATGATTTTATGAACTGTTATGTAAGTAATGCTATGTACCAGTAAAGAAACAACTTATGAAAATATTTTTAAAGGGTAGAACGAGATTAAACTTATCATAAAGTTAACCAGAGAGAGGAAATAAAGCAATAGTGAGTTTGGTTAGTCACATACTGTTCCTAGGGTTTTATGTATTGATACACATTTTTGGAGTGGTATATACCTAGTATTATAAATTTAGATACACACAAAACTACCCTCAGGAGAATTTTGTTAAAGAGAAGCATTAAAGAAGAATTAGACTGGTGAATTTCATCACACAAGGAAATATATTTACTGGTCTTTTTCATACTGTTTTACAATAAATGAAGTTATATATAAACATTCTTTTGGGTAATAATTTAGGGAAGAGATCCCACCATTGCTTTTTTTTTTTTTTTTTTTTTTTACCAAATTAGAAGTCTAATTTGGATCTCCATACTAAAAAGGACATGTTATTTTTATTTGCTTGTGGACTTTATAATTCCCTTCTCCCTGGAAAAGATTTCAGTCTTCCAAACAATTTTATTCTGGAAAGAAGATTGTGGAATGCTCAGGAACAGAAAGAGAACACAAATTGGAGCTTGATGTGAACTGCTTACAGAACAGAATAGGTGGGGTGTCATGCAGTGTGAGGTTGTGTGTGGTCAGTATACTACTTACTTAGTTTTATCAACTTTTAAAATTGTTTTGCAGGCACTCCATTAGTTAGCATGAAAAGAGCTCAAGAAAATTTTATATATAATAGAGATACATGATTTGGTTCTACAGCTTACACTACAAAATTACACTACTGAATAACACGATTCAGGAAATTAATTAAGTATCCTAGTATCATGGCCTTCTGACAAATGTACAGAACATACCGGACGCAGAGAGATAAAACAATAAAAGTTATAATTCTCATCCCACCCAATGCATCCTGAGTCAACAGAAAACTGAATGATAACACAAATATCATAGGATGGAATGTCTGTGTGGCTGCAGAAGGCCTTCCCTTCCTTTTCCTGTTTATGTTGTCAATTACGAAATGCTGAGCTGGAATGTTCTGGTATTTAAGACCCGTCAGCGTTTTCTCCTTTTCCTCATATTTACGTTAGCCTTTTCCTTTAATTATCTTGATGTTGTTATTCTTGGCAAAGCTGTCCTTTCCATGATGGTGTGTTTAGCTTCCAGACAGTCCCTACTTCCTCCTTATCTTTGTGAGCTCATTAACATTTCCAGCTCCAACTACTCACATCCCCTCTTCAACATCACCTCACCTTCATAGCTCAGTTCTTTTTCTCTCTTTTCAGCCCTTCTTTCAACTCTCACCCCAACCCTCTCACCCCTTTGGAATAACAAGTTATTTCCTCTTTCATTTCCTGTTACAGAAGATGTTTTTGGACCCATTCCCGAATATCTTTGGCATGAAAGTGTACCCACGCCGCTCTGTGTTTCCACTGGGCACATTTCCAGATATGTTTCATCAGCCTGGAGCCCTCAGCCCTCACACCAAGGTGAGCCTGGCCCTGTCAGTCACTGTCACCACCCGACCAGCATTCCAGGTGAGCTGAGATGACGGAGACGCAACTGGGGAGTCCTGCTCCCGCTGGCAATAGGCTCTTCTTTTCAAATCTGTTTCAAGAAGTCTATTTGAGGTATGAAAATCGGGACTTTTTTTATTTCAAGTAAAAAGGATTAAATGGCAGGAAGGAAGGCTGAGTCAGCAATATTTGTCCAGCTGAGACATGTGTCTCAATTTATGGAATAACTGTATTATCCAATTACTTTTCATTCTTTATAGGTCATCCAGAAGTAAGTTTGACAGTTGCATCCAAGCTGGAGGAAAAATGTATGAAACAACAAACAAAACTGACTAAAATTAAATGGTTTCTACTTTAGGGTTAAAAAAAATTGAGGAGGGAGTCATCTTACAGTGATGTGCCACATAATAGCATTTAGGTTCCATAAGACTATAATACCATATTTTTTACTGTACCTTTTCTATGTTAAAGTGTGTTTAGATACACAAACACCATTGTGTTACAATTGCCTACAGTATTTAGTACAATAAAATGCTGTACAGATTTGTAGCCTGGGAGAAATAGGCTATACTGTATAGTGCAGGTATGTAGCAGGCTATACATCTAGGTTGGTGTAAGTACACTCTATGATGTTCACGTGACAAAATCACCTAAGGACGCATTTCTCAAAGTGTTTCCCGTTGTTAAGCAAGGCATAACAATAATTTGCCCTTTAATGGGGCTGGGGTGTTATTATTCATGATGATTAATAAAACAAACTAAAAACTTTACCTTTCATTATGTCATGGTTTATTGAAGTGAACAGTTTCATAGTACACTTCCATATTTCTTTTTAATATTTATGCATCATTAGTAAAATATATTTATGAGCTAGAGGACACTGTCTTGAGATAAAGTGTTTGCTCATCAAGACCCAAAGACAAGATGTCATGCCCACGTTCTGAATCATGCAACCCTAAGCAGTCTACTCCACATTTGATATCTAGTGCTCTGTCAACCAAGTAAGTAAATATGCATGAAAGCACCCATTCAAACTACTGGCATTAAAATCTAGTACCCATAAACATGTTACTCCAACTAAACGTGAATAAGTAAGTTATTTCCTTGGATTCAAAACATTCCAGATTCAACATGCAAACCTGGTCTTTTTTGTGTAGTTTGGTTGGTTTGGTTTGGCTTGGCTTGGCTCAAAGACCAACTGGCAGAGATAGCAGAGAAAATGCTGTACATTTTAACCTAATTTTTGAAAATTATTCAGTAAATAAGTCTGTTGACTGGGCCAAGTTGTAAACATTTTCTAAGCTACTCCAGTACACTGCTGTTAATACAATTAAAAATGCAAAGTCAAAGTGACTTCCAATTCAAAACGATATTTGCCTCACAGCTCCAACGTAGCTTCTCCCTTTGATATGATGAAAATATTGATAAGGGCCCATAAAAGGGTAAACTTTCCATCCTATTGCTTGGAAGGCATCAGTTCAGCACACGAGCAGCCCCTCAGGAGGAAGAGAGAGTATCTGTGGAGCAGAGGTAAACTTGTGAGCACTTGTTAGAAACAAGGATCGCTAACACGGTGAAACCCCGTGTCTACTGAAAATACAAAAAAATTAGCCGGGCGTGGTGGCGGGCGCCTGTAGTCCCAGCTACTCAGGAGGCTGAGACAGGAGAACGGCATGAAGCCGGGAGGCAGAGCTTGCAGTGAGCCGAGATCGCGCCACTGCACTCCAGCCTGGGCGACAGAGCGAGACTCCGTCTCAAAAAAAAAAAAAAGAAAGAAACAAGGATCAACTCAGTGTCCATCCACCCACCCCACAGCTCCAGAGCTAAAGAGATCAAACACCGCACAGAAAGCAGAGAAGATGGGCCAAGGACAATCCGCTCACCCGCTCCACTAACAATGTCCAGTCTGGAGAACATGCTCCTTGTTTGAGACTAAACAAAAACGGTTGGAAAAAATACTGCAGACGAAGGGAAAGGGAGCAGCTTCTGGAAGACCCAGGGAAAGAGCAAAATAGGCTTGAATTTTCACTCGCTGGTCATTTGAACTTGGACAAGGAACTAAAACTCTCCAATCTGCAGTCTTTATGAAAATTAAATAATATATAAAAAGCAAAAAGTATGTGCCTAACATATGGTACAGTAAACGTTGGTTAGTATAATTATTGTGATTACTGGATATTAAGATGCACTGTCAAACTCTCATTCATCCCACAAATATTATCAAATGCCTATCCTAGTCTGACATATAAAAAGACATACATGTTCCCTTTCCTATTACCATGCTGCTTATATATAATTATATATATATATAACTTATATATATATATAACTATATATATATATAACTAATAATTAAAATAGTTCTGTTCCAGATATGATAAACACAATGTAAAGCAATATAATATTAGCAATTGGGTTCTGGGAGAAAAGGTCAAGGAAATCTCAAAATCGGAGTCAAAACTACTTAAACTATGTTACAAACTGGATTTAATATGACCTTATGTAATTAGACTTTTACATCCAATATTTAAGAACATAATAACTAAGTATGCAAAAATAGTATTAAATGCAAGAGTCTCTGAAAATAGATAATACAGAAATTGCCTAATGTGGAATACAGAAAATTGAAGGAATTTAATTTATTAGAATTTGCTATAAAAAACATGGAGTATCAATACAGTAACATCAATTCTAAGTTAATAACAATCCTTATGTTCTAGTAGTCGATTATATGAGAATGTTTTATCTATCTTCTCTCACACATAACTTTAATTTTACTATTAGATAAAGTCTTCATCATTTAATGTTATCAAATTTGTTCTTTTCATGAACACTTTTCAAAAGAAGATATACATGCAGCCAATAAGCATATGAAAAATGCTCAATATCACTGATCATTAGAAAAATGCAAATCAAAACCACAATGAAATACCATCTCATACCAGTCAGCATGGCTATTAAAAAATCAGAAAAATAACAGATGCTGGAGAAGTTGTGGAGAAAAGGGAACACTTATACACTATTAGTGGAAGTGTAAATTAGTTCAGCCATTGTGGAAAGCAGTGTGGTGATTCCTCAAAGAGCTAAAAGCAGAAATACCATTTGACCCAGCAATCCCATTACTGGGTATATACCCAGAGGAATATAAGTCATTCCGCCATAAAGACATGTACATGTGAATGTTCATTGCAGCACTATTCACAATAGCAAAGACATGGAATCAACCTAAATACCCATCAATGAAAGACTGGTAAACAAAATACGATAAATAAACACCATGGAATACTATGCAGCCATAAAAAAAGAATGAGATCATGTCTTTTTTGGGAACATGGATAGAGCTAGAGGCTATTATCCTTAGCAAACTAATGCAGGAGCAGAAAACCAAATACTGCATATTCTCACTTATAAGTGAGAGCTAAATGATGAGGACTTATAAACACAAAGAAGGAAACAACAGACACTGGGGGTGGGGTGGGGATGGGAGAAGGGAGGGGTGCAGAAAAGATAACTATTGGGTACTAAGCTTAATATCTGGGTGATGAAATAATCTGTACAACCAACCCCCATGACACGAGTTTACCTATGTAACAAAGCTTCACATGTACTCTCAAACCAAAAATAGAAGTTTTTTAAAAAGAATTTTTAAAGATTGTTCTTTTACAATTTTTACAATCATTCTGCTAATATTGATACATATTGATTTTCTTGGAGTAAATAGTAATAAGAATGCAATTTTTAAGTGGATTTTTGAGGCGTGGTTCAAGTTGATTGATTTTTTTATGCCTGTGTCAGGACTGAAGAAATAAGCTATTCTACCTAAGATGACATGATTTGCCTCAAAGTAAATCCATTCTTGAGGCTGCTTGAAACGTTATATGCTGCCAGTCCTGTTCCCAATTAATTTAACAAACTAGCTGATATTTTGCTTAAAAATATTTCAAGATGCTTATTTTGTTCTGTGTATACTGACTTCTCAAGCAAATCGCCATCCTTACAAAGTATGCTTGTATCTTGCAATCAAAGTATTTTTGAGAAAAGTCTACTAAAATAAACCCAGGTTTTCATCCTGACTAGCTCATTTGATAGGAAACTTGAAGGTTTCACCTAAAGTTGAACATTGAAACTACATGATTTTACATTCCCCAAAAGCATTCTGACTAAATAAATATCTGTGGAAACATATCAGAGTATATAACCAAGACTTACATTGCATCAGATGCTGAAATAGAATCTTCCTTTGTTTTCTAAGAAAGATCTGTCTAGCCTTATTTAGAGAAGCCAAAAAAGAAAAATAACTTCTTGCCCCACACAAAGTACATTTCAAGTCATGAAATGCAAAGCCCCCTTGGACCATTTCCTATCTTTCTCACTCTCTCTCCGCCAGTAAAGGCTTTTAAAAAATGGAATGGAATATCTTTACATTCCTCCTAACTATTCCCCACTGCCTCCTTCTTTTTGATAGGTAGGTTGGTGCCACTGTCAGCAGTCCGATTCTCTATCAGCACATTTTAAACCACACCAAAAAAAAGAAAAAGGAGAGAGTCAGTATGTCAGAATCCAGAGAGCAGATCACACTGGCTTCAGATTTGCTAATTGAAACACGACTCCCCAGAGCCATTGGACCATAACTTATATGTCTGTAACTACATTTGAAGAGTTTAGAGAAAGAAAAATAGTAGAGGAAGTACCCAATACTCAGATACAAGTAGTTGACCACAAAATGTTTCCAGAACAATACCAGCTAGTTTCATCCTGATGTGTAGAGTAGTGGGCAAAAATAGTCTTTGGAAGCAAACAGTCCTGAGTTGTAAACACAGCTTCATCCCTGGACAAGTTGCTTAGCTTCTCTGAGCCTGTTTACCAATCCATAAAATGTGGATGATAATACCTTGCTATTTCTATTGCTATGTAGATTAAGATGAAATGTGTGGTTCTTAGAAAGGTAATTGACTTGTGTTAGCTGTTAATATCATCATCATCATCATCACTTCTACTTGTCTCTGTTATGCATTTCCTGTTTCCTCCCATTATTTCAATCATTTCAATAAACATATTTGTACATACCATATGCCTGACAAGCACTGTAAGAGGTATTTGTGATACAAAGAATGACTGAAACGTTGAGATTCTGGCTACAGTAGCTCACAATCCAGAAGATGGGACAGATATAAACACACAAGCATTCTACCTCTGGGTAGGCACATGACACTATTTTGTCCTTGTTTCTATTTCTGTCTGCACTCCCCCCCAGACTATAAGCCCTTCAAGGTCAAGGCCCACATCTTAGTCTTCTCTATATCACTGCTGCTTCATCTGGCCCATGGTGTTAGGTACTCAACAAATGTTTGCAGTTAAAAGAATGAAAAATGCACACTTCGCATTCAGGACAAAGAGAGCTTACTTCACCTGGAGAAAATGAGGTGGCTTCACCAAGGAGATCAACGTTGAGCTGGGTCTTAAAGAATACATTGAAGTTGAATAGGTAGAGTGTGAAAAGGTGTTCCAGGAGAAGAGAACTTTATACAAACTCAACTATAAATTCCTTGAGAGTTAAGACCCTAGTTTTAAATGATCTTCTCACAGTACACAGGGCCTTGAGCAGTGCCTGAACAAGAAAAGTTGTCCATAGATTACTGAATAGCAACAATAACTAATATTTACTGAGCATTTAAACATACTCAGCACTGTTCTAAATGCTTTATGGTGTTACCGCATTTAATCCTCACAACAGCCATATGAGCTAAATACCCATTTTACTTAGGTGATTTCCTCAAGATCACATAGCTAGAAACTAGCAGAGCCAGCTTTCAAATCTAGACAGCCTGGATCACAGGTTATCTGACCTCTGACATTTCCTTCATCATTCAATAAGTACTGAGCATGTCTTATGAATCCACTCTTCCAGGTACTGCAGTAGTGTTCACCCTTGGGAAGCTTACGTTCTAGTGTGAGAAGACAAACAATAAACAAAATAAATAAATAAGCAGTAAGAATATGAGACAGTGATAGTGCTATGGAAAAAAAAAACATTAAAGAAAGAAGGGGAATAAAGGAAAGACAGGTAAATAGGAGATGTTCAATTTCAACTACATTGGTCAGAAGAACCCTCACTGAGAAGATGACATTTCAGCAAAGACTTAAAAGAGATGGAAGAGTAAGCTTTAGTCATCTGGTGGAAGGGAATTCAAGGCAAAGTACAGAGCAAGTGAAGAAGCCCTAAGTCAGAGCGTGCCTTGTTTGTTGAGGAACTGCCGTGAGGCCAAAGTGGCTGAGCAGAGTGAGCAAAGGGAAGAGAAGAAGAGGTCAGAAAGATAAGAGACAGCCAGATTATGAAGAGTCTCCTAAGCCGCAGGCTTTTACTTGGGAGGGAAAACATTATCTAGTGGTTGATTTTCTTTGCATCGCTACCCACCCAGCCTCTTCCCCTGGCCTGGGCCAAGTAATGGGACAGTCTCACAGCCAGTCACCAGCAAGCCTGTTCTTTACATCCGAAGAGAATAAGTCCATTCTGTGGTGCCCACAGACCCTTCCACCATCTTTGCATTCCTTTTTCTACAATAAAACAGAACCACAGACAAAACAGAATAATTACTGACATGGAAAAGTCCCTAAACCTTTGAACAAGATCACTGAGTCTAACAGACTAGAAGATCGTAGGTGGAGTGGGGGAAGGAGGATACTTATATTAAATGGCTGCTCTGAGCATGTAAGCATCTTTGCATGACAACTTCCATGACTTCATCTCAACCCCTACATAATGCTTATGGGTAGTAAATTTCATTTCGTTGAAATGTTTTTTTCCACATATTTTGTAAACATTTCAAATAAATGCCAAGTTTGGGATTCAGAACTTAGATTTTTTTGGTTTATTTCTATTTCCAATTCACAATTTGATATCAAAGTCCCAATTTGGTTGAAAATATTCTCCAATGAAGAACCCCACTCATATTTGAAACAAAACCACAAAAATTAAATTTGACAGGGAAACTTCATATTAAGATAAAGGCCAATTTTAGAAACTGAGCAATTAATAACCTTTAAAATCTTTGCTCTAAACAATTGTGATTTATAAGAAATCTGAAATCTTTGAATCAATGAAATTTTTAAACTGTTTTATTTAGGTAATTCATACAGTGAAATTCCAGACCTTAAGTAAATATAAACAGCTATGTAACCAACAACCAAATAAAGATATAGGAAATTTTTATCTCCCCATCAAGGTTCCTCACATGCACTTCAGGTCAATCCCTTGTAACCCCAAGGCAGCTACTGCTTTGATTTCAAAATCTCACCATAGATTAGTTTAGCATATCTCAAATTTCATATCAACGGAATCATATAGTATGTAATCTTTTGAATCTGGCTTCTTTTGCTCAACATAATGTTTCTGAGATTCATTCATATTATTCAGTATATCATTAGTTCATTCATTTTTACTGACAAGTAGTATTTTATTGTATGGATATACCACAGTTTGTTTCTTCATTGTCCTACTGATGGACACTGTGTCATTTTTAATTTGGGGCTTATGAATAAGCTGCTATGAACATTCTTGTACAAGTCTTTTGTAGACACATGCTTAAATTTTTCCTGGGTAAAAAACGTAGGAGTGGAATTGTGCAGTTACAGAGGTTATTTACGTTTAACTTTATAAGTACCCGTTTCCCAAACTTATGCCATTTTACACTCCCACCAGTAACGGGCGGGAGATCCAATTTTTACATATCTGCACAAATATTTAGTGGTGTGAATCTTTTTTAACAAAAGCCATTCTAGTTCTTCTGAAAGGCTATCTCTTTGTGGTTTTAATTTGCATTTCCCTGATGACAAATAATTTTGACCCCATTTACATGTGCTATTTGCCTGTCTTCTTTCTTTCTTAAGTGCTTAATCTAGTCTTTTGCCCATTTTTATAGAGTTGTCTTTTTGTTATTGATATGTAGGAATTCTTTACATCTTCTTGATAGAATTGTTTGGCAGATACATTTTTTAACAAACATTTTATTCCAGCCTGTTGCTTGCCTGTTATTTTCTTAGTGGTGATTTTTTTTATTTTCAGGAATTTATCATTGTGATGGTTTAGTTTAATATATTTTTAAAATCTTATAGTTTATGTTTTTTGCATTCTAAGAAATCTTTGCCTGTCCCAAGTTCACAATGATATTCAGTTTTCTTCTAGAAGCTTTATACTTTCATCTTTAAGTTTCTACTTCATCTCAAATTAATTTGTGCCTAGTGTGAGGAAGGAGCTGAGATTCATTTTTTTCTTTATACATTTACCCATTTGTTCCAACATCATTTGTTGAAAATATTTGCCATTCCCCCATTGAAATGCAGTGGCATCTTGGTAGAAAATCAATTTACTATATATATTTGGATTTGTTTCTAGACTTTCTATTCTGTAACATTGATATTAATATATTTTTCTATCCTTGTGCCATAATACATTATCTTAATTACTGTAGTTTTATTGTAAGTCTTAAAATCAGATACTTTACTTCTTCCAATTTGCTCTTTCTCAAAATTATTTTGGCTCTTCTAAGCCCTTTTCACTTCTATACAAATTATAGAATCAGCCATTTTCTCCAGAAAAGAAGGGAAAATGATACAAATTTTTATTTGAATTGTATTGAGTCTATCTATAGATTAATTCAGGCAGACATGGCATCTCAGTCCTCATTCCTGCCTTTATTTAGGTTTTATTTAACTGCCATCAGCATTGTTTAAAAGTTTGCAGAAATAGAGATCTTGAACATCTTTTGCTATGTCTATTCTATTCATTTTATGGACTTTGTTACCATGCTATTGTTTTCTTAAATTTTATTTTCAAATTATTGATTGCTATAATGAGGAAACACAAATAACTTTAAATTCTGACTTTGTGTCCGTGACTTTACTAAATCACTTTTAATTAGTTTCAATAGTTTTTATATAATTTTATGAACATTTTCTACCCACATTATAGCATCTGCAAATAAAAATAATTATAATTTTTTCTTTTCAATCCTTTTGCCTTTCATGCTTGTTTGCTTGTTTGTTTGTTTTAGCCTTATTACACTGCTAGGACCTCCAATACAATGTTGAATAGAACTGCTGAAAGTGGACATTAATGAGAGTAGACATTCTTTCCGTCTATCAGAGTAGACCCTCATTTTAGGGTAACCCTGTTCAGTTTTTTACCATTAAGTGTGATGTAAGCTGTAGAGGTTTTTTTGCAAGATGCTATTTATTACACTGAAGAAGTTTTTTCTGTTCTCATTGCATGTCTTTTAATGTGGGTCTGTTGATAATGAAGTCTCTCAAGTTTCATTTATCTAAAAAATTCTCATTTCACTCCATTTGTAAAGAATATTTCCCCTCATATTGAATTCAAGGTTAACACCTTATTATTTTTTTCTTTCTGAATTTAAAGGTATCATTTCATTGTCTTCTGACCACCATTTTTTCTGATGAGAAATCCGTCATCAATCTTATCATTGTTCCTCATCATGTAATGCTTTTTTTTTTCTTCCTTTCTGTCTTTTTATTTCATTCTTTTAAAATCTCCCCCTCTGGCTGCCATTTACATTTTCTCTTTGTCTCTTTTTTTCAGCAAGTTGATTATTATACACCTGTATTTTCTTTCTGTTTTGTTTTGCTTTTATCCTGCTTGAATTGAATCTATAGAAGAATGTTTTCCACCTAGTTTTAAGAAATTTGGGGCCAATATTTCTTCAAATAATTTTTTTCCTGCCCCACTCTTTTTCTCCTTTCCTTCAGGAAGTTTATTTCCACATATCTTAGACTACCTGCCACTTTTCCACAGATCATTGAGGCTCTGTTCTCCCATCATTTTGTCTCTCTGTTCTTCAGTTTGGGTAAATTCTATTCACTTTTCTTGAAGTTCACAGACTTTTCTGCACTGTTCAATATGCTGTTAGGACTACTCAGTGCAGTTTTATTTCAGATATTGTGTTTTGCAGTGCAAGAATTTCCATTGGTTCTTTTGCACATTTTCCATTTCATGCTGAGATTCCCCATATGTTCATTCATTTTGACCATTATTTCCTTTAAGTCCTTGAACACATTTACAATAGCTGTTATAAAATCCTTGTCTGCGAATTCCAAAATCTTGGCCAGTTCAGATTCATCTCAATCGATGGCTTTTCTTTTCGTTATGGTTATAATGTAATGCTTCTTCACATATTTAATCATATTTTATATGTTTGATATTGTGAATAATACATTGTAGGGAGTTTGGATTATATAGTTCTCTTTTAAATGATGGATGTGAGTGTAGTTCTGGCAGTCATATAATTTATTGGCAGATCCTCTTGATCTAGTCAGATGATTTTGAGTTTTTCTAGCATGGTTCTATTTCAGTGTATTCTCTAATTGAGAGTGTGGCCTTTGCTCTAAAATGTGGTCCTTGCTCCTAAATATGGTCTTTTGGGGGGTCTCAACTAAATACTCAGATGCACCATGTGGTTCATCCACTTTGGTTGGAATAGAACTCAATGTCTCCCGGCACTTCATGACCTATGAGGGAGCTTCATT
Source organism: Homo sapiens (assembly GCF_000001405.40). Classification (NCBI taxonomy): domain Eukaryota; kingdom Metazoa; phylum Chordata; class Mammalia; order Primates; family Hominidae; genus Homo; species Homo sapiens. The sequence continues at coordinate 93,370,496 of NC_000005.10, forward strand.
TAGTTTTTATACCCAGAGTTCCACTCTGCTATGTCTTTCAGTATATTACCCTACACATGCATAGCTCCACCCTTGGCCAAAGACCCCAGATAATGCTCCATGTAGACTTCTGGTCCTCAACCCTTACAGTGTTCTCCCCTCTGGAACCCTGGTCTACATATTCAAGCCACCTTAGCAGACTTAAATTCTGACCTCTCTGCCTTATTAGCAAGACTGAAACTCTCCTTGTGGGCCTCACCTCCCTAAACCACAGTCTGGAACGTGTCACCAGTTAGAAGGCTGGGGTGAAAATGAAATTCAGCTCATGTCTTTCCTTCCAAGGATCACAGCCTTCTGATGCCTATTTACAATGCCTAAAAAATATATACTCATATAGTTTGTCTAGTTTTATAATTATTTACAGCAGGAAGTTAACTCCAACACCAGTGACTCTAATATGTCTAGAAATAGATATTCCATCAACTGATAACTGATCACTTTATGATCTTGTGCCAGAGTTCACTCCTTCTTCTTCAGTTTCCCCATTTTATCAAAATTGCAGATTTTCTGTAAGGGGCTTACCTCCTTTAAGATCCCAAGATTCCGTAATCTCTTGCCACAGAGGTTTAAGAGTGTCTTGGGTCACAGTCTCATTCCCTTTAAATGTATGAGTGGATTTATTAAGTGCCAATATTTGCTGTGACATTTTGACCTTTCCTAGTCAGCACAGGTGTGGTATGATTTTTGAAAAAGTAAATAAATGAATATTCTGGGTTTCCTTAAAAGCATCATATGTAAGAACATTCATACAAATCTACCACATCATTGCACTGGGGTAGAAATAAAAATCACCCCAATTTTTCCCATTTAAATTGAAAGGTTAGCACCAATTTAATCGAGGGTTGTATAGGTTAATGACTAGAATATTGGCAATGTACCTGAAGTTTCTTGAATGAGAAGGACCTGTAAATGTAAAAGATAATTTTCCATACTCAAATATTATAATACTATGTATATGTGCTATGAGGTAGAATGAAAAGAAAAAATTAAAAAAAACAGTTAATCACCTGGTATACATTCAAATATGCCAGGAACACACACACACACACGTGCACATGCACACACACACGCACACACAAATATCAGTTACTGTGTATGCCTTTCATGAAATGGTAAAATAAACTTACCAGTCTTGCAAAAGACTAGGATTGATAAGCTACTTAACAAATACCCATTTCTTTTATTTCCCTTTTTGTCTTTTCTTCCTTCCCTTATACACTCAAATATAAATGTCTATATAAAGGGCTTGGGGGCAAGAAAGCTTTTGCACTTATAAAATCCTTTACTTAAAAGCTTTAACCTTTCTTTTGTCTAAGAGCAGTTGAAGGTTATCTTGATAAACATCGTGTGTGGAAAACACAACTTTTTCTTGCATTAAGCATTTTTGGTGAAATATTTTTAAACTTCATGTAGTCATTTCAGATGATCTAAAAGAACCCCAGAGACAATAAAAGAAGAGCACATCTGTTATCCTTTCTGTTAATATAAGTGTCTGATTGTTTCACATCCCTCAAGGCATATTTCCACATAAAACATGACAGGGAAAATGAGTAGTGAAGACTGGAGTGCAATGTCTGGGTTTGTGAACATCCCGCACAATGACCATCGGTCCACTTATGAGATGATCTGCTAACAATACCAAAAATGAGCAGTGACAACCACAAAGGACTATTAAACAACAGAGATGGGCATTAGACACTGAAGGCTTGATGGAGAGAAGGAATTTACCAACCCTGCTCCTAGGACTTGCAAGGCCTCAGGGCACAGTTCACAACACTTTTTATGTTTCTTTCTCTGCAGGGTGAGAAAACCAGTTTCAGGGCAACTTTTGACCTTGAGAGAAGCGTGAGAATTTTTAGGTGTCCAGTTTTTTGAGATGGAGATGTTTTGAAGTTGCTTATAAATATGCAGGTAAAGGAACATTTCTGTTTACAGGCAGTCCTTGCATTGCTCGATGGTGTGGAACCATAAAAATGACCATGCAAGCTGAAATCACACATGTCATGTTAATAACCAATGGGGAAAATTATTATTGTTCTGTGACCTTTAAGATTTTTGTCAAAATAAAAAACTGTCTCTTACTGTCAAGTGTAAATATAGAGATAAATGAAAATAATAAAAGAGCCTGTCCTTCCAACCAAGGAGGTGAAGGATCTCTATAAGGAGAACTACAAAACACTGCTGAAAGAAATCATAGATAACACAAACAAATGGAAAAACTTTCCATGCTCACAGCTTGGAAAACTCAATATCACTGAAATGGCCATACTTCCCAAAGCAATCTATAGATTCAACAGTATTCCTGTCAAATTACCAACATCATTTTTCATGAAATTAGAAAAAAAATTCTAAAATTCATATGGAACCAAAAAAGAGCTCAAATAGCTAAAGCAATCATAAGCAAAAAGAACAAAGCCAGACGCATCACATTGCCTGAGTTCAAGTTACATTATAAGGCTACAGTAACCGAAACAGCATAATACTTGTACAAAAACAGATGCATAGAGCACCAAGGACAGAATAGAGAACTCAGAAATTAAGCTGCACACCTACAACCATCACACCTACAATCCTAAATCACACCTACATCACAATCCTATATCACACCTCAAATCAAATCACACCTACAACCATCTGATCTTTGATGAAGTCAACAAAAATAAGGAATGGGGAAAGGACTTCCTATTCAATAAATGGTGCTGGGATAGCTGGTTAGCCATATGCAGAAGAATGAAACTAGACCCCTACTTTTCACCATATACAAAAATTAACTCACAATTAATTAAAGACTTAAATATAAGACCTCAAACTATAAAAATCCTAGAAGAAAACCTTGGAAATATCATTCTGGACATCAGCATTGGCAAAGAATTTATGACTAAGTCCTCAAAAGCAATTGCAACCAAAACAAAAATGAGAAAGGGGACCTAATTAAACTGAAGAGCTTCTTCACAGTAAAAGAAACTATCAACAAAGTAAACAGACAACCTACAGAATGGGAGAAAATATTCACAAACTATGCATTTGACAAATGTCTAATATCCACAATCTATAAGGAGCTTAAACAATTCAACAATCAAAAAACAAATAGCCCCATTAAAAAGTGGGCAAAGGACATGAACAGACACTTCTCAAAAGAAGAAAACAAGCATATGAAAAAAAAATCATCAGAGAAATGCAAATCAAAACCATGAGATGCTACTGCATACCAGTCAGAATGGCTATTATGAAAAAGTCAAAAAATAACAGATGCTGGTGAGACTGCATAGAAAAGGGAATGTTTATACACTATTGGTGGGAATGTAAATTGGTTTGGCCACTGTGGAAAGCAGTTTGGAGATTTCTTGAAGAACTTAAAGCAGAACTACCATTAGACCCAGCAATCCCATTACCGGGTTCATATACTTTGGATATTAATCCCCTCAAAAATCTCATGTTGAAATATAATCCCCAATGTTGGAAGTGGGGCCTGGTGGGAAGTGTTTGGGTCATTAATGTTGTGGTACTCTCCTTGCAATAATGAGTGAGTTCTTATTCGGTTCATTCACTTGAGATACGATTTTTTTTTTTTTGAGACAGAGTCTCACTCGTCACCCAGGCTGGAGTGCAGTGGTGCAATCTCGGCTCACTGCAAGCTCCACTCCAGGGTTCACGCCATTCTCCTGCCTCAGCCTCCCAAGTAGCTGGGACTACAGGTGCCTGCCACCACATCCAGCTAATTTTTTGTATTTTTAGTAGAGATGGGGTTTTGCCGTGTTAGCCAGGATGGTCTCGATCTCCTGACCTTGTGATCTGCCCACCATGGCCTCCCAAAATGCTGAGATTACAGGCGTGAGCCACCACGCCTGGCCAGAGATACGATTGTTTAAAAGACTTTGGAACCTCCTCCTTCTCTCTCTTACTCCCTCTCTTCCAATGTTGACATTGCTACTCCCTCTTCACCTTCCACCATGAGTAAAAGCTTCCTGAGGCCTCGTCAGCAGCTGAGCAGATGTTGGCGCCATGCTTTCTGTGTAGCCTGTAGAATTGTAAGCCAATGAAACCTCTTTTATTTATAAATTACCAAGCCTCAGACATTTCTTTATAGCAACGCAGAAATTGACTAACACATGGGAATATGCCCTGAAGAAAATAAACTGTTTTATCAAAAAGACACATCCACTCACATGTTCATCAAAGTATTATTCACAATAGCAAGGCATGAAATCAACCTAGATGGCCATCAACAGTGGATTGGATAAAGAAAATATGGTATATACACACTATGGAATACCATGCAGCCATAAAAAAGAATGAAATCATGTCCTTGGCAAAACATGAATGTAGCTGGAGGCCATTATCCTAAGTGAATTAACACAGGAACAGAAAACCAAGTATTGCATGTTCTCACTTATAAGTGGGGGCTAAACATTGAGTACCCATGGACATAAAGATGCGCACAATAGGAAGTCCTAGCTAGAGCAATCAGACAAGAGAAAGAAATAAAGGGCATCCAAATTGGAAAGGAAGAATTCAAATTATCCTTGTTTGCAGATGGTATAATCTTATATTGGGAAAAACCTAAAGACTTCACCAAAAAGCTATTAGAACTAATAAGCAAATTCAGTAAAGTTTCAGGATAGAAAATCAACATACAAAAATCAGTAGCATTTCTGTATGCCAACAGTGAACAACTTGAAAAAGAAATCAAGAAAGTACTCCCATTTACAATAGCTACAAATAAAATAAAATAACTGGAAATTAACTTAACCAAGACATGAAAGATCTCTACAATGAAAACGATAAAAACATTGATGAAAGAAATTGAAGAGAACACACACACAAAAGAAAGATATTCCATGTTTTTGGATTGGAAGACTCAATATTGTTAAGGTGTTCATAGTACCCAAAGCAATTTATAGACTTAATGTAATTCCTATAAAAATACCAATGACATTCTTCACAGAAATAGAAAGAACAATCCTAAAATGTATATGGAACCACAAAAGACCCAGAATAGCCGAAGCTATCCTGACCAAAAAGAACCAAACTGGAGAAATCACATTACCTGACTTCAAATTATACTACAGACCTATAGGAACCAAAACAGCATAGTAGTGGCATAGAAACAGACAAGCAGACCAATGGAACAGAATAGAGAACCCAGAAACAAATCCTTACATCTACAGTGAACTCAATTTCAACAAAAGTGCCAAGAACATACACTGAGGAAAAGACAGTCTCTTCAATAAATGGTGCTGGAAAAATTGGATATCCATATGCAGAAGAATGAAACCAGACCCTTACCTCTCACTGTATACAAAAATCAAATCAAAATAGATTTAAAACTTAAATCTAAAACCTCAAACTATGAAACTACTAAAAGAAAACATTGACCCAGCATTTTGGGAGGCTGAGGCGGATGGATCACTTGAGGCCAAGAGTTTGAGACCAGCCTGGCCAACATGGCCGTCTCTACTAAAAATACAAAAATTAGCTAGGCGTGGTGGCACACACCTATAATCCCAGCTACTCAGGAGGCTGAGGCATGAGAATCGCTTGAACCCAGGAGGTGGAGGTTGCAGTGAGCTGAGATCACACCATAGCACTCCAGCCTGGGCAACAGAGTGAGATTCTGTTTCAAAAACAAAAAAAAAAAAAAAGAAAAGAAAATATTGGGAAAACCCTTCAGGACATTGAACCAGGCAAAGATTTCTTGAGTGACACACTACAACCAAGGCAAAAATGAACAAATGGGATCACATTAAGCTAAAAAGCTTCTATGCAGCAAAGGAAACAGTCAACAAAATGAAGATGCAACTCACAGAATCAGAGAAAATATCTGCAAACTATTCATATGATAAGGGATTAATAACCAGAATATATAAGAAGCTCAAATAACTCAAAAGGAAAAATATAATAATCTGCACCAAAAAATGGGCAAAAGATCTGAATAGACATTTTTCAAAAGAAGACACACAAATGGCAAACAGGTATATGAAAAGTTTCTCAACATCACCGATCATTAGAGAAACGCACATCAAAACTACAATGAGATATGATCTCATCCCAGTTAAAATGGCTTTTATGCAAAAGACAGGCAATAACAAATACTGGCAAGGATGTGGAGAAAAGTGAACCCTTGTACACCGTTGGTGGAAATGTAAATTAGGACACCACTATGGAGAGCGGTTTGGAGGTTCCTCATAAATTAAAAATAGAACTACCATATGAACCAGCAATCCCACTTTTCTTTTAGGTATATACCCAAAAGAAAGGAAATCAGTATATCAAAGAGATATCTGCACTCCCATGTTGGTTGTAGCACTATTCACAATAGCCAAGATTTGGAAGCAACCTAAGTGTCCATCAACAGATGAATGGATAAAGAAAATGTGGTATGTATACACAATGGATTACTATTCGGTCATAAAAAAGAATGAGATCCTGTCATTCGCAACAACATAGATGGAACTGGAGGTCATTATGTTAAGTGGAATCAATCAGGCACAGAAAGACAAACATCACATGTTCTCACTTATTTGTAGGAGCTAAAAATTAAAACAATTGAACCCATGGAAATAAAAAGTAGTTACTGAAGGCTGGAAAGGGTAGTGGATGGGGAGTGGGGGGAGTGGAAATGGTTAATGTATATAAAAATATAGTTTGATAGAATGAATAAGATCTAGTATTTGGTAGCTCTACGGGATAACTACAGTCAACAATACTTTATTGTATATTTAAAAATAACTAAATGCTTGAGATGATGGATACCCCATTTACCCTAATGTGGGTATTACACATTGTATGGCTGTATCAAAATATCTCATGTACACTGTAAATATATACACCTACTATGTACCCACAAAAATTAAAAATGAAAATGAAAATAATCAAGAAAAAGATGGGAGCAATAGACTGGAGACTACTAGACAGGGGAGAGATGGAGGGGAGAAGGACTGAAAAACCCACTGGGTACTATGCTCACTACCCAGGTGACGGGATCATTCATATCCCAAATCTCACCATCATGCAATATGTGGCAAACCTACACATCTACCTATGAATCTAAAATAAAAGTTGAATTTTTTTTTAAAAAAAGAAAACAATAGAAAAATTAAGATTTATTTTGTTCTGTATGATTTGAAACATTAGAAACATTGAAAATGAAAGTGTTTAGTTTTGTAAAAATATGATCAAGAGTAATTTAAACAGTGTTTGCCTTTTATCATTGTATAACAAGATGTGAAGCAAATGTCTTTTCATGTCTTCTGACTTCTTATACTCTTTTGTAAGTTTGGGTCAGCTTCCAACATTTTATCCTTTATGATCTAAATGTCATGTAATATTTCTAAGCATTCCATTAATATGGAGGGGTTTTTTGTGTTTGGGGTTTTGGGATTTTCCCCCACTATCACTTCCTCTGGGACAGCTTCATCTTTTTGCCACAACCACTTTTGAATTACATTTCCAGAGTCATCACTTTGTGTTTATTTTCTCTACTTTCATCTTTATTCACCATTCCCACTTTAATTATCTATTTTTGTAAAATGTCATGTGGACTGATCACTGGGAGACACAGAAACAACACAATGATGCACTTTGCTGTCTGGGCATGGACTGAAGAGCAGGTGTGAGTGAACAATCACTGATGGAGTCTGAATAAAGTGATAAGACTGGTCACTGATTGTGATGTGCATCTGTTCTTTACATAATGAAGAGCAGTGACGTGTGTACTCTAGACAATTACTCATGGTTAGTACACCCTGGTAGCTGAAATGTGAACCCTGTTGCTGGGAGACTGGGTTATTTAATTAAACCGTGGTAACTGACATTCCTGCATATGGGAACCATGCAAAGGGAGGACTGCCTGTGTTTAGAGAATTGGTTATCCCATTGACTTGATTTGGCCTCACTTTAATAATTAGGTATTTTCTTTCTGCTTTATTGGATTTTATAAAATTTCTAAGCAAAGGGTTGGATGGGCTATTTGGAATCTAGAGAGTACAAATCTCAGGCAAAACTCAGGTGTAGACGAGATAGAACTGTTCCACTTTTTACAGAACTTAATTTCTACTTCAAACCCTGTTCTACCAAGTGGCAAATTTAACATCAGTCAGTTCAGTACTCCCCTTAAAGTACACCTGCCTGGGGCTTGTGTCTGAATTCAAGAGGCTATCTAATGCCAGGACATGTGTAACATGGTAGGGGTAAGTGGGATTTCTGATCTTCAGTCATCATCTGTCAGCACCAGCATACAATGAGCAATAGTCTGCCTACCTGGACTTTGCTAGTCAGGGAAATCATGTCTTTTACTTCTCATCTTGACTGCATGGCTCTTCAGGTGCCCTGATTCTTTGGGCAGATCTAGCAGCTTTCTCTGACCCTAGAAAAACATTTTGTGGATTTCCAAGTCAGGATGGAAGGCTCAGGGTCTCTACAGGAGTATCAGGTTCAGGCATCCCATTCAATAAGTCCTCTGCTCTGTCCCTAGCATGGAAAAATCTCTCCCTGTATCATGAAAGAAACAAGCAACATCTTGTGGCTTTTCTGAACTTTTCTTTTTTTGAAACAGCGTCTCACTCTGTTGCCCAGGTTTGAGTGCAGTGGCACAAACATAACTCACTGCATCCTCAACTTCCTAGGCTCAAGCAATCTCCCACTTCAGGCTCCTGAGCATCTGGGACTACAAGCACACACCACTGTACCCTGCTAATAGATATTTTGTAAAGATGGGAGTCTTGCCATGTTGCCCAGGCTGGTCTCAAACTCGTGGGCTCAAGCAATCTTCCTGCCTTTATCTTCCAAAGTTTTGGGATTACAGGTGGAAGCCACTGCACCTAGTCTTTCTGAATTTTTCACGGGAAGGGGCGTAAGTTTCTTCTTGACTTTGTAAACCAATCTGAGTATTCTATCATTGTCCCCTACCCCTATGCTAGGACGCAATCTGAGACGCACCTTCTCAGGACACACCAGCAACCCTCCAGCTTCAGCCTGATTCCCTCCTTTCTTATACAGTGTCCCTCCCTTTCCAGCAAGTACTATGAGAGTAGGGGTTGGGGGATTCTGGTTCTGATAATGAAGTATCCTTAGCACTCTTCCAAATCACCTTATATCTGGATCTTTCTGAAACTCAAAAGCCAAGAATTTGACTCATTTCCCATGGCTACCAAAAGAAGTTCTACTACAATGACCCCTTCCCAAACAGCAGACGCTGCAAGATCCCAAGTTGAATGGAAGAAGTTCCAAAAAGAAGTAAAAGAAAACACAAAGCTAATGTGTTTTCTATATTTTATCCCACAGGAAGAGAAAAAGAAACACAGTGTGGTGTGGTGACTAGGAATCTGTCTGCTTCTTGAATTTTAATTCAGGCTCCACCTCTAAATAGCTACATGGCCTTGAAAATACTACTTCATCTCTTTGAGCCTCAGTTTTATCGCCTGTAACACTGAGATAATAGTGGTACAAACCTCCTACAGTTTTTGTGGAGATTAAATAAACTTTTTCATTAAAAAAAGCATTTAGCATAGAGCCTAGCAAATAGTAACTGCTCAATAAATGTTAACCCTTGTTATTAAGAGAAACAGCCACCAGTGGACGATGGAAACTCATAATTTTGAGGTTACATATCCCCAAAATACCTTAGAATTATGCCATTTATTCTCAGCCAGCGTTGTGATTGCCACAAGGTTTGCAAAGGACAATTGTCCTATAATTCTGTTTTAAGCTAAAGAACCAAACCTTGCTTAGAATTCTCTTCACACAAAATGAAAGGAAGAGGATTTGCTGCTTTTTCAAAAAGGACTCTATGTGATTTCACACTTTATGCATCCTGTGGTCTATGATAGGGGTAATGAAGCACATGGATTTTAGAAGGTGTTAACAATAGAGTAAAATATTTAGAAGCCTGCCAGCAGGGCCAATCATGCTACCTCCATGTGAACTAATGGATTGAAAGTGAGGGGTCAAGAATCACAAAAAGTCTAATTTTTCCCTCTTACCTTTTGATGATTTGTATGCCTGTGGCACCCGGGAAGACATCATATCTTATCACCTCCCATCATTTCCATTGTGTATCTGGAACCAGTCCCAGAAGCGGGTGGTGTATGTGTGTGTGTGTGTGTGTGTGTGTGTGTGTGTGTGTCTGTGTGTACATCTATCTGTGTATACAAAGGACGGGGGCAAGGAGAAAGAAATGGTTTTGAAATGACTGAATAGGATATTACTTATAGAAGCATTCAACAGGATACTGACAGCTTTCCTTAGTTTCCATTGCAAGTGCAGCGAATCTTCCAGGTACAAAACAAAACAAAGTCAAATAAACAATTAGCATCTCCTTCACAATTGGACTCACTTTTATGAACTATATGTTCATGTCCCCCCAATATTTATATGATGAAATCCTAACCCTCAGTAAAATGGAATTAGGAGAAGGTATCCTTAGGAGGTGATTAGATCATGAGAGTGGGGCCCTCATGCATGGGATTAGCTCACTTATAAGAAGAGACTAAAGAGCTTGCTACCTCCCTCTGCTCTAGCCCATGGAGGATACAGCAAGAAGACAGCTATCTGCAAGCCAGGAGAGGGCCCTCACCAGAAACCTTGTCTGCTGGTGCCTTGATCTCAGACCTCTCAGACTCCAGCATTGTGAGAAATAAATGTCTACTCGTTAAGCCACCCAGTCTGCGGTATTCAGTTATCACAGCTGGAACTGACTAAGCCACCCACTGGGAAAAGTAAGACTGTTAAAGTGCACACAGGAGTGACACAGGCAAGGAGGTGCTGAGTCAGCACAAGCCCAACAACAGAATCACACGTGCAAATCTATTCTGTGATGGAAGGAATTTAGGAAAAATCATATTCTCAGTCTCTGCTTATTCTTCCCAACTTTGTACATCCGTATTTCTTGCCAGCTTGACCTCTTTCCCCATCTTTTTATGTGAACACCTCAATTTTGCCTTGGGGAACTACGGCTCCCCCAAGTCATGAAGCCATTAATGAACAAACCACCTCCCCCCATCTTTAGCTAAGCACCCTCAGACGCTTTCATTTGCAGGAATTTAATCTTGAGCATGGTGGTACAAGGAAAGAAGTCAGCTGGCCCCACTGGTTCCAGCAGTGATGCCATGGCACTGCTGCCCTAACCTCTGGAGCTCCCCTGGGCCTGATCTTTTCCAGTCTTTGATTTCCAGGTTTCTTGTTGGGCCTGTGCACTCTCCCACATTTTACCTGTAAATTTCCTCATTACTCGAATCAGCTAGAGTCCGTTCTGCTGCAACCAAAGAACCTTAGCTCACAAGCCACCTCACCCTGCTTTCAGCCTAGACTCTACATAAAACTGTCTGAGATGATGGGATAGTCCTTTTGTGACTACTTTTTCCTGAGTTCAAGGCCTCAATTAGGAGCAGCATCACCAAGAAAAGTTCATTAAGCATCCACTTCAGAGGCCAGCCAGGCAGGGAAACTAGAGAGAAACAGGAAGTGAACCCCTAGGGTCATAAATACATATAAAAGAAAATATAACACAAATGCTAACTTTTGTTTAATAAATTTAAATTATGATATAATTTAAAATCAATGCTTAAAAGTAAAGTTTGTCACTTTCTGGTCTTTAAATTCTACCAAATATTTCATAATCTAACATTATGCTTCCTTAAAACAAAATCACTTGCAACTCTCTCCACATTGAAACAAATGAATAAAAAATAATGGCAACAACAGAAAACACCACTTGTCCAGAGATTTGTGGTTCGCAGCAACTTGGCCAACCATCCTGAGCTGCGGAGCTGCCACAGTAGTTTTTTAACTTGTACTTACTCATGTGAAGGAAAGACAGGTTCTGAAGGTCCCCTGACTCTGGTCTTCACTTCCTGGACAGATGTCCCTCTGTGCCTCCTTTTACACAGACACACTTCTTTATTTCTTTCACATAACTTGACTGCCAGCAGCTGCCTTTCTATTGGCCCAAGAACACAGCAAGACAATCTTCATCCACCAAACCTCTGTGAGCAGCTCAGTGTGCTGTGAAATACCAGAGCAGCCTCTCCTTCAAACAGCAAGAGGCTTCCTCAACAATAAGTTTTTAATCATTCATTCCAGTCCCCTTTGAAGCTGTAAAAGTCACTATTATTTCCATAATAACAAAGATTACTAATTAACTTTTCTAGAAACTTCTTTTAAACCTTTTAAAGGGGCTATGCCTTTCTTCTGAACTTTAAACAACACTGAACCGAGCAAAAGTTGTTGCTTTTTTAAAGAGGGTTATTCAGTGGTTTTCTCACATTTCCCATGGTTACTGCCTTTGGTAACTAATTCTGATATTTAATAACCCTCACCTTGATTTCCCCCTTCAACATCAAGGGCAGTGTGGGCCAGTATTTAACTTACTTTTTAAACAACAACAAACCCCAAACCATGCTGGGTAGAAAGAAGTGGGGAGCCACATCAACCTACTTCTTTACTGACTGATGTAAATGCTATCCATCTTAATGAACAGACCTCAGACACTCATTCAGAATTATTCCCTAGTGCAAACAATCATTCTTACACCAATTTGAAATTCAGCAATCAAATTCCACAGTAAACACCTCCTGGGTGTTTGACACTACTTTGGACATCCTGATACGTATAAAAAGAGCAGAAGGTAATTTTTGCTCGTAAACATTGCAGTGATCCCACCACATTTCAGGGATGACATTTATTTTCCCTATACAGACCACCTCTTTTTCCTTCTCTGAGCACAGAACCTCTTTGGATCACCAGCTTTGGCAGACTGCATTATCTTCCCATCCTTTGTAAAAGAAACAAGATATAGAAACGGCAAGGACAAAATAACAGTAATAATAATGGTGAATAATGAGCCATGGGAGAAATGAATCACAGTGCAGAACAGCTGACTCAAACCCACTTGCTGTCTGGAGAGACCCGGAATCATAGTTCCCCAACCGTTTACTCTGATACTCACCTTTACCTATGAGGTCTTTTATTTCATCACTCCTTTTAACTGACCTCTGTTACTCTCCACTTTTTGGATACAGAAAACCCTGTGGAGTTTCTGAGATGGGTGAACATCACAAAGAGGAGAGGAAGTCTACAGTCTTGGTACTCAAAGTGAGGTCCAGGGCCAGTAGCATCAGCATCACCTGAGGCCTGTCAGAAATGCAGAATGCCGGGCCCCATCTCAGACCTACCAAATCAGAATCTGCATTCTAACAAGATGCACTGGGCCATGTTCTCCATACATTAAAGCTTGAAAAGTTCTGGTCTATAGCATTTGATAATTTAAAAGAGCTTTCAAAGCTACCTGAGTTCCTAGTTGTAATTTTAAGACCAGTGAAAGGGGGAATTGATAATGCATGGACGTGTCTTGCCTGCAGTGCAGCACGAAGGTCTTCTGATTTGTGACTGAAATAAGAAGACATCTTATGAGATCTGTCTCTACTGATACAAATGGTCCGACAGTAAAGTTTTCACACCATATATGCATCCACTGAAGGAAAATAATTTATGTGCTTATCAAATTTTAAATAGTTACACTTACTTTAATAACAAATACTCAATGTGAACATAAAGTATGCAACCGCATTAAGGAAAGAATAAGAAAAATAAAACCGGCCCCTATAAAATGACTCTGTCCCCCAGCTGTGATCAAAACAAAATCTTGAGCCAACGTGACATTCTTTTTCTCTTTTCCAAAATATTTCATTAAAGAGATTTAATTTTGTCTTTCAGGCAAACTGCCCTTGCTAAAGAATGGTTTTGTGATATGCTTGAATCCATATGGCTCATTCTCATTACGAAATGACTATGAAAAATAAGGGAAAAGAACAAACAGATTTCTTCTACAGAACTTATTGGAGGTGACAAAATAGGTTAAAATGGGGCTATTATAAGTGTTGAACTTATATTTCATGTCCTCCAAAAATCCAGTGAAATTTGGACCTCTTTGGAAGGATACAGAACATTTTACAGAAAATGAGGACTCTGAGGAAATCAACTTCCATGGGTAGTTCAAGAGGAGTGAGAACCTATCTATAGCACTCGGGATTTAGGTGAAAAATGAGGAAAAGTTTCCTGGCAATTAAGATTATTAAATGCATAAATTAGCATTATATGGTAAATTAAGATGACATAATGTTGATAGAGCTTGCTTCCTTGCAGTCATAGAGTTAACTTCTTGTTGGGGAGCTTGTTTTCACAATAGTAATAATTGTTGTTGCTGTTGTTGTTATATTAGCAATGACAATTGAACAGGAACAGTGTAGCAGGCACTGTGCCTTGCCCTTTACCTGCATTCAGGGTGCTATTATTATACTCATTTTACAGTTGGAAAGAACTGAGTCTCTGAGAGGTTAAGTGACTTACCCAAGGTCACAAAGGCAGGCTGTCATTGGACCAGGAATTTATACACAGGCAGCTTCCCTCCAGAATCAGCACACTGAACTATGCCATGCTCTACTGCCTCCTGGTAGATGTACATCATGACAAACCAGACTGGGACCCCAACATCGGTTTGCTGTGTCAAATAGACTTAAAGGGAGGCTATAGTAAATATTGGGAAAGGCATTAAAGTATATGAAGATAATATCCAGTTAGCCAGGTAGTTGAAACATCTAATTTGCTCCTTGTCTGCTCAATGTGTCATCAGTCACCAGGCACAGCCCACCAACCTGAGATCTGATGTAGGCTGCCTCGGGGCTTCCATATGCCATCCACATGGCCCCAGCCATAGCAACACCAGCAACAATTTCATTCTGGAGACATTCTGACCCTCACTTTCCTTTGCACTAACCAACTGTGATCTGTCAACAGGTAGCATGACTAGAACAACAAACACATCCTCCCTTTCCCAATTACGCAGAAACCAGATCACAAAATTGTTCATCAGAAGGTATCATCAAAAGAGCCTGGAACTGAGCTGATGCTAGGATTACCGTAACATAAATGCAGTGGATTGAATGTTTCCAGTATCCACCTAGATAAAATAAGACAACATATGGAAGGTCTGGCCAGTGTGCAGTACCCCAGAGGTACTCAGCAAATGCTGGTTCTGTCCTTTGCCCCCTCCTTAATCACATAATCCTCACGTATTTTATTTTACTTTGGAAAGTGAAAAGGATTGGTCCCTTTAGAAAGCCAGGGTATATCCCATTGTGAAGGAAACATATTGGAACTGGGAATGACAGGACAACAATGGAGATATTTATAAAGCGTCTTCACTTTATAAAAGGCAGCTCAATTCCACAAGAGAAACAGAAGGTGAGTACACAGTAATACTTAACACAAGATTACAGAAAAGATCTGAGAGCTAGCACAGAAATTTGATACCTATTATGAAACTGCCTTTTGCTGGAAGACACATTAACCACTGGAAGACACTGAATGCCTGGGCTTGACCAGACTATAACCAGTAAGTTATTATAAACCGAAAATACCAAACTGACCAAAAGCCATGATAATGACACAGAACTGTTCACAGGAAGGTTAAAATAATTAAAGTGAAATGATTAAAGTGGATTTGTATAACATTTTACCTCAGTCAAAAGATATATTACTTGCACTTAGAAGTTTCAAAGGGGATTCTTTGATTATGGGAGAAATTATTAATTAATTCATGAATTATTTTCAATTATATTATCTTATAAAGTGTTACTGGAATAAGTGAGATGCCCTGTTTTTGTCAGCTATCCATTCAAGAAGCAAGTCTAACATTGATGTTTCTGTGCACTAGTAAATCAGTAGAAGGCAGAAATCTATAAGGAATGAGTTCTCTCTAGTGAAGTGTTTTCAATGTTTTGAAATTCATGTCCTCCTTTCATATGTATCAAAATCTTATGCCTTCTTTTAGTATTAAAATTTATAACAAATTAAATATTTTTATTAACATTGAATCAGAGCAATGGAACAAAGTGCTGCTTGGTTTTCACACTGCACAATCTCTGCCCCCGTTATGACATGGGTGGTGGCAATAAAGGGCAGGGGGCAGGGGTAACAGCCCTGCTCACTTCCACTTAAAGAATCCCTGCTCAAGTACTTATTCTGAAATACTCTGCTTTTTGCATGAAAGAAATATTCTCTTTGACCAAACTTCAGAGTTCCAATCCCATTTGCTCTCACAGAATACCTAGGGTCTTAAAAAGAAGCCAAATTAAGGTACAAAGAGAAATATGTAACTCTTTTAGCTCAAAAATAATTAAATCTTAGGATTTGCATCTGCAAATTTTGCAAGATGTCTGCTAGTCATTTTAATTCTTGTGAAGCTTTTCTAACATCACTCATGTTTTACAAGTTGTTGGAACATTTTATAGGTTGTCATTTTCTGTCATCATGTGGATTTAAACTTTTTTCCCCTGGAAACACTCAACACACTTATGCCTCTTATGAGTTATCATCATTTGTTTGCTTGAGGTGAGAAATCAACACGGTATTATGGAAGGTTCCAAAGGTTTTGGCAGTCAGATAAACCCACGCTCAAATCCTGAATCTGCTGCTATCTAGGTGACCTTGATCACATCCTTACCTTTTCTGAACTTCAATTTCCACATCTGTAAAATGAGCTTAACAATTCCCTCCTTTGACAATGTTGTGAGAATTAAAAGAATGCAATTACAGCCCCTTACACAAGGCCTGGCATGTAGTAGGTACTTAGCGAAATTCTTACGTACATACCAAGAGTGGGAAATATTTTGTTATTAACATTACAGTTTTTAGTACACACAATATTGGGTATTCCTTTAAGAAACAGAAGAGATTTTGGGTTTTTTAAATGAAAAGTACTATGTGTCTAGATTTAATGAAATTTGATCTCTACTATCATAATAGTGATCATTTTGAATGAAATTGAAATATTGTTACCTAGGCAATACCCAAAAGCTAATTCCCCAAGACAGAGTGAAAGGAGATGCAAAAATTACTTTGATAATTACCAATTTGTTTCCAAATGCTAGTTTTCTTGTCACATTATATAAATTAACCATACTATGCCTGCCACTGGTGTATCAAATCTTTGCATTTTCCAATATATCAACTAAAGTTAATTTAGAACAGTTATCTAATATTATCACGACACCACCAGCTTCAGGAAGTCTGATTTTTTCCATTTTAGCTCCTCTACACACATGGTTTGGTCTCTTGTTGGGAGTGGTGGAGCCTAATTCAGCATGAATTCTTTTTTTCATCCTGTCACCCACAGGCAGTCACATCCTGCTCTAGAGCAAGGCGAGAAACACCCCCTGAGGGAGCAAGGCTCTGGAATTCTCTCGCCACTCTATAAAGTACTAGAGACACACGAAGCATTATAAATGTGGGATCCAATCATTTTAACCAGTGAGAAAAATTTAAGTGATAATGTTGAAACATGTTCCCATCAACCCAGATAAACTGCTATTAAGCCCATGTTAACATATAACCAAAATGTCCAGAAGAAAAATGACAACTTCAATCATCTTGATATTTTACTATAGGAAAACCATTGTATTACAAAAACCAAAAAATATTATTTTTATTCTACTGCATGCTAAGAAATAAAACCACGTGAGGGATGGGAAAATATGCTAACATTTGATTAAAACATTGTAGGAAAATTCAGACATATGCTGAACAACAGGGATGAACCTTGGAGACATTATGTGAAGTGAAATAAGCCAGCCACAAAAAGACACTGGATGCATCCACTTACATGAGGTACTTAGAGTAGTTAAAACCATAGAAACAGAAAAGAGGTGGTTGCCAGAGGCTAGGGTAAGAAAGGAATGGGGAGGTATTTGTTTAATATAGAGTTTCAATTCTACAAGATGAAAAAGAGTTCGGGAGACAGATAGTGGTGATGGTCGCATGATAATATGAGCGTAATTAACACCAACAAACTACACTTAAAAGGATTGAGATAGTACATTTTATGTTATAAGCATTTTATCATCATTTTTTAAATTGAGGACAAAAAACATTACAGGGAAATAAATATCAACCCAATTTCCCTTAGAATTCAGAATAGGCTGGTTGCAGTGACTCACACCTGAAATTTCAGCACTTTGGGAGGCCAAGGGGGGTGGATCACTTGAGCCCAGGAGTTCAAGACTAGGCTGGACAACATGGCAAAACTCCGCCTCCACTAAAAATTAGCCAGGTATGGTGGCACATTCCTGCAGTACCAGCTACTCAGGAGGCTGAAGTGAAAGGATCATCTGAGCCCAGGAGGATGAGGCTGCAATGAGCTGTGATCACACCACTCCACTCCAGCCTGGGCAGCAGAACGAGACTCTGTCTCAAAAAAAATTAATTAATTAATTAATTAATTCCGAATATGACATACATGAAAGTTCCAAGCACAATACCTACTCAAATAATTGCTTAATAGATAATATTTGAATACCAACCTAAATTTATCTTCAACTTGTTATCCTATATTCAATGTATTAATTTATTTGATTGATTGATCTCAGAGCTATCTAAATAGTTTTCTTAATATTCTGGTAAGGATCTATGCATACTCTTTTATTTTTTAATAGTTTTTTTCCATAAGTTATTGGGGTGCAGGTGGTATTTGGTTATATGAGTAAGTTCTTCAATGGTGATTTGTGAGATTTTGGTGCACCTGTCACCTGAGCAGTATACACTGCACCCTATTTGTAGTATTTTATCCCTTATCCCCTCTCACTCTTCCCCCAAGTCCCCGAAGTCCCTTGTATTATTCTTATGCCTTTCCATCCTCATAGCTTAGCTCATACATATCAGTGAGAACATACGATGTTTGGTTTTCCAGTCCTGAGTTACTTCACTTAGAATAATAGTCTCCAATCTCATCCAGGTCACTGCAAATGCTGTTAATTCATTCCTTTTTATGGCTGAGTAGTATTCCATCATATAGATAGGTAGATAGATAGATAGATAGATAGATAGATAGATAGATAGATAGATAGAGATAGAGATAGATAGATGATAGATAGATAGATAGATAGACAGATATATACACACACACACACCATAGTTTCTTTATCCACTCGTTGATTGATGGGCATTTGGGTTGGTTCCATGATTGTGCAATTGTGAATTGTGCTACTTAAACATGCATGTGCAAGTATCTTTTTTCAAATAATGACTTCTTTTCCTCTGGGTAGATACCCAGGAGTGGGATTGCTGGATCAAATGGTAGTTCTATTTTTAGTTCTTTAAGGAACCTCCACACTATTTTCCGTAGTGGCTGTACATTCCCACCAGCAGTGTAGAAGTGCTCCCTCATCACCGCATCCACACCAACACCTACTGTTTTTTTATTTTTTTATTATGGCCATTCTTGCAGGAGTAAGGTGGTATCACATTGTGGTTTGGATTTGTATTCCCCTGATCATTAGTGATGTTGAGGATTTTTTCATGTTTGTTGGCCATTTGTATATCTTATTTTGAGAATTTTCTATTCGTGTCCTTAGCCCACTTTTTGATAGAATTGTTTGATTTTTTCTTACTGATTTGAGTTTGTTATAGATTCTGGATATTAGTCCCTTGTCAAATGTATAAATTGTGAAGATTTTCTCCCACTCTGTGGGTTGTCTGTTTACTCTTTTGACTGTTGCTTTTGCTGTGCAAAAGCTCTTTAGTTTAATTAAATCCCAACTATTTATCTTTGTTTTTATTGCATTTGCTTTTGGGTTCTTGGTCATGAAACCCTTGCCTCAGCCAATGTCTAGAAGGGTTTTTCCAATGTTATCTTCTAGAATTTTTACAGTTGCAGGTTTTAGGTTTAAGTCCTTAATCCATCTTGAGTTGATTTTTGTATAAGGTGAGAGATAAAGATCCAGTTTCATTCTCCTACATGTGGCTAGCCAATTATCCCAGCACCATTTGTTGAAAAGTGTGTCCTTTCCCCACTTTATATTTTTGTTTGCTTTGTCGAAGATCAGTTGTCTGTAAGTATTTGGGTTTATTTCTGGGTTCTCTATTCTGTTCCATTGGTCTATGTGCCTATTTTTATACCAGTACCACGCTGTTTTGGTGAGTATTGCCTTATAGTATAGTTTGAAATCAGGTAGCATGATGCCTCCATATTTGTTCTTTTTGCTTAATCTCACTTTGGCTATGCAGGCTCTTGTTTGGTTTCATATGAATTTTAGAACTGTTTTTTCTAATTCTGTGAAGAATGATGGTGGTATTTTGATGGGGATTGCATAGATTGCTTTTGGCAGTATGGCCATTTTCAGAATATTGATTCGATCCATCCATGAGCATGGGATGTGTTTCCACTTGTTTGTGTCGTCTGATTTCTTTCAGCAGTAGTTTGTAGTTTTCCTTGCAGAGGTCTTTCGACTCATTGGTTAGGTATATTCCTAAATATTTTATTTATTTATTTATTTATTGCAGCTATTGTAAAGGGGTTGAGTCCTTGATTTGATTCTCCTCTTGGTTGCTGTTGGTGTATAGAAGAGCTACCAATCTGTGCACATTAATCTTGTATCCAGAAACTTTGCTGAATTCTTTTATCAATTCTAAGAGCTTTCTGGAGGAGTCTTCAGGGTTTTCAAGGTAAACGATCATATCGTCAGCAAACAGTGACAGTTTGACTTCCTTTTTACCAATTTGAATGCCCTCTATTTCTTTCTCTTGTCTGATTGCTCTGGCTAGGATTTCCAGTACTATGTTGAAGAGGAGTGTTGAGAGTGGGCATCCTTGTCTTGGTCCAGTTCTCAGAGGAAATGCTTTCCATTTTTCCCCATTCAGTATTATGTTGGTAATGGGTTTGTCATAAATGGTTTTTATTACATTGAGGTATGTCCCTTGTATGCTGATTTTGCTGAGAGTTTTAATCATAAAGCGATGCTGAATTTTGTCAAATGCTATTTCTGTATCTATTGAGATGATCACGTGATTTTTGTTTTTAATTCTGTTTATGTGGTATATCACATTTATTGACTTGTGTATATTAAACCATCCCTGCATCCCTGGTATGAAACCCAGTTGATCATGGTGGATTCTCTTTTTGATATGTTGTTGGATTCAGTTAGCTAGGATTTTGTTAAGTATTTTAGCATCTATGTTCATCAAGGATATCAGTCTGTAGTTTTCTTTTTTGGTTATGTCTTTTCCTGGTTTTGGTATTAGGGTGATGGTGGCTTTATAGAATGAATTAGGGAAGATTCCTTCTGTATCTTGTGGAATAGTGTCAAAAGGATGGGTATCAAGTCTTCTTTGAATGTCTGGTAGAATTCTGCTGTGAATCCATCTGGTCCTGGACTTTTTTTGTTTGCAATTTTTTTAAATTACCATTTAAATCTCACTGCTTGTTGTTGATCTGTTCAGGGTATCTAATTCTTCCTGATTTAAGCTAAGAGGGTCATATTTTTCCAGGAATGTATCCATCTCTTCCAGGTTTTCTAGTTTATGTGCGTAAAGGTGTTCATAGTAGCCTTGAATGATCATTTGTATTTCAGTGGTGTCAGTTGGAATATCTCCTGTTTTGTTTCTTATGAGGTTATTTGGACTTTCTCTCTTCTTTCCTTGGTTAATCTTGCTAACGGTCTATCAATTTTACTTATCTTTTCAAAGAACAAGATTTTTGTTTCATTTCTCTTTTGTAATTTTTTTGTTTCAATTTCATTTAGTTCTGCTCTGATATTGGTTATTTCCTTTCTTCTACTGGGTTTGGGTTTGGTTTGTTCTTGTTTCTCTAGTTCCTTGAGATGTGACCTTAGAGTGTCAGCTTGTGCTCTTTCAGTCTTTTTGATGTAGGCATTGAGGGATATGAACTTAGCTCTTAGCACCACATTTGCCGTATCCCAGAGGTTTTGATAGATTGTGTCTTTATTGTCACTCAGTTCAAAGAATTTTTTAATTTCCATCTTGATTTCGTTTTTGACCCAATGCTCATTAAGGAGCAGGTTATTTAATTTCCATGTATTTGCATGGTTTTGAAGGTTCCTTTTGGAGTTGGTTTCCAGTTTTATTCCACTGTGGTCTGAGAGAGTGCTTGATATAATTTCAATTTTCTTAAATTTATGGCCTATCATAGGGTCTGTCTTGGAGAAAATTCCATGTGCTGTTTAATAGAATGTGTATTCTGCAGTTGTTGAAGGAAATGTTCTGTATATATATGTTAAGTCCATTTGTTCCAAGGTATAGTTTAAATCCATTGTTTCTTTGTTGACTTCTGTCTTGATGACCTGTCTAGCACTGTCAGTGGAGTATTGAAGTTCCCCACTATTATTATGTTGCTGTCTATCTCATTTCCTAGGTCTGTCAGTAATTGTTTTATAAATTTGAGAGCTCCAATGTTAGGTGCATATATGTTTAGGATTGTGATATTTTCCTGTTGGACAAGGCCTTTTACCATTATATAATGCCCCTCTTTGTCTATTTTAACTGCTGTAGCTTTAAAGTTTGTTTTGTCTGATATAGGAATAGCTACCTCTGCTTGCTTTTGGTGTCCATTTGTATGAAATGCCTTTTCCCACCCCTTTACTTTAAGTTTATGTGAGTCGTTATGTGTTAGGTGGGTCTGCTGAAGGCAGCAGATAGTAGGTTGGTGAGTTCTTACCCATTCTGCAGTTCTGTATCTTTTAAGTGGAGCGTTTAGGCCATTTACATTCAATGCTATTAGCATTGAGATATGAGGTACCATTGCGTTCATTGTGCTCTTTGTTGCCTGCATACTTTGGTTTTTTTGTTGTTTGTTTTTGTTTTTTAACTTGTATTTTGATTTATAGGTCCTGTGTGATTTATGCTTTAAAAAGATTCTGTTTTGATGTGTTTCCAGGATTTGTTTCAAGATTTAGACCTCCTTTTAGCAGTTCTTGAAGTGGTGGCTTGGTAGTGGCGAATTCTCTCAGCATTGGTCTGAAAAAGACTGTATCTTTCTTTCACATATGATGCTCAGTTTCACTGGATACAAAATTGTTAGCTGATAATTGTTTTGTTTGAGGAGGCTGAAGATAGTGCCCTGATCCCTTCTAGCTTGCAGGGTTTCTGTTGAGAAATCTGCTGTTAATCTGATAGGTTTTCTTTTATAGGTTACCTGGTGCTTTTGTCTCACACTCTTAAGATTCTTTCCTTCACCTTAACTTTGGATAACCTAATGACAATGTGCCTAGGCAAGGATATTTCTGTGATGAATTTCCCAGGTATTCTTTGTGCTTCTTGTATTTGGATGTGTAGGTCTCTAGCAAGGCTGGGGAAGTTTTCCTCAATTATTCTTCTATTTAGAATTCTCTTCTTCCTCAAGAACACTGATAATTCTTCGGTTTGGTCGTTTAACATAATCTCAGACTTCTTGGAGGCTTTGTTCATATTTTCTTATTCTTTTTTCTTTGTCTTTGTTAGATGGGGTTAATTTGAAGACTTTGTCTTTGAGCTTTGAATTTCTTTCTTCTACTTGTTCAATTCTATTGCTGAGACTTTCCAGGGCATTTTGCATTTCTATAAGTGTGTCCAATGTTTCCTGAATTTTTTATTGTTTTTTCTTTAATTTCTATTTCCTTGAATATTTCTTCCTTAACTTCTGGTATCATTTTTTGGATTTCCTTGCACTGGGTTTCGCGTTTCTCTGGTGCCTCCCTGATTAGCTTCGTAACTAACCTCCTGAATTCTTTTTCAGGTAAATCAGGGATTTCTTCTTGGTTTGGATCCATTGCTGGTGAACTAGTGTGATTTTTTGGAAGTGTTAAAGAGCCTTGTTTTGTCATATTACCAGAGTTGGTTTTCTGATTCCTTCTCATTTGGGTAGGCTCTCTCAGAGGGAAGGTCTAGGGCTGAAGGCTGTTGTTCAGATTCTTTTGTCCCATGGGGTGTTCCCTTGATGTAGTACTCTCACCCTTTTCCTATGGATGTGGTTTCATGTGAGCCAAACTGCAGTGACTGTTGTCTGTCTTCTGGGTCTAGCCACCCAGTAAGTCTACCCAGCTCCAGGCTGCTACTGAGGGTTGTCTGCACAGAGCCCTGTGGTGTGAACCATCTGTGGGCCTCTCAGCCATGGATACCAGCACCTGTTCCAGTGGAGGTGACAGGGGTGTACAATGGATTCTATGAGCGTTCTTAGCTTTGGTGGTTTAATGCTCTATTTTTGTGCTGGTTGGTCTCCTGCTGTGAGGTGGTGCTTTCCAGGGAGTATCAGCTACGGTAGTTTAGGGAGGAATCAGCAGTGGGCAGGGCCCTAGAACTCCCAAGATTATATGCCCTTTGTCTTCAACTACCAGAGTGGGTAGGGAAAGGCCATCAGATGGGGACAGGGCTAGGCATGTCTGAGCTCAGAATCTCCTTGGGCGGGTCTTGCAGCAGTGGCTATGGCGGATGGGGGTGAGATTCGCTGGTCACTGAAGTTGTGTACCTAAGAGGATAATGGCTGCCTCTGCTGACTCATACAGGTTGTCAGGGAAGTGGGGAAAAGCTGGCAGTCACAGGCCTCACCCAGCTCCCATGCAAACTGAAGGGCTGGTCTCACTCCCACCATGCCCCCCACAACAGACCCTGAGTCTGTTTCCAGGTTGTGGGTGAGGCAGGCGAGTACGCCTCCCAGCTGCAAAAGTAAAGGGCTTGGTTCTTCCTCTGCCAGTGGAGTCTGCACAACAGTTCTGTGCCCTCCCCTGAGTTCTGGCCAGGAAGCTTCTCACCCTGTTCAAATTGTTACAAAATTTAGCTGAAGATTACCTTTTCCCTGTGGTGTTCCCCAACACCTCCCACTCTTCTGGCCACCCTCCCAATGGATCCCTGTGGTGCTGGGCAAGAATGGCCTGCTAGGGGACTGAGTCAGCTCCCAAGGCCTTTCCGCTGCTTCCTCTACCCCTGCTCAGCTCTCTAAATTGACTCAGCTTCAGGTAAAGTCAGAAACTTCTCCCACAAACAGACCTTCAGTTTCTCCAGTGGAGCTGTGTGTTCAGTACAGGAGGCTCTCCCTTTCCCAATTCTGCAGTTGGGGCACTCCCAGTATTTGGGGTGTCTCCCGGGTTCTACAGGAGCAGTCTGCTTCCTTCAGAGGGTCTGCGGGTCCTCTCGGGATTCCTGATTTGTTCTTGAAATTGATCTGGAGCTAAAATTCCATATTCTTTTACTCTGAAAAGAAAAGAACTCTCAGAGCAGGAATACATTGAACTTTTCACATTTCAGTATAAACCAGTAACAGATATGCTATTTCTTATGAATGTTCATGAAGCCAGAAATGTACTGGGTGCATTAAACTCAATCTCAGTGTCACCAGCAAACTGACTTCATTCCCCACTCTGTTGGTCACAAAGAAAAAAGACAATCAGGTTTTATTCACTGGCCTGGAATGGAGAAGGAGAGACTCTTGCTCTAAATGGCGCTTCTCCCTGAACAATAGAGGGCATGGGGTTTTTAAGAATTGAGTATCATGAGGAGGAGGAATGTTAGCATGTGCAGGATGGGACTCCAGATATGCAGGCTCAATTCATAAATGTATTTCTTCATACAACCCCGGTACATAAAATAGCAGAAATTTTCTTTAAGGGAAAGGAATGTTCGTGTTATAATGATATGTTAATGATCTAAAGGCTACTAGGGGTCATCTGTTCCAGTTTGTGCCAGTTTGGGGGTCTTATCTCCTCTGGTATCTGATCAAGAGTCAAGAAGCTCTGGCACCATCCCAGGCCATCTGGTTTCTTTAAGCAGCTATGCCTATAAATAAAAGGACTAAAGAAAAACAGTAAGAAAGAGAACTTTCTCAGTTATTTCATCAGGGCTGCTCTGGTAACATCAGCACAGTGCTGCATCCAAAATAAAAATCTAAGTATGTAAACCATTAAAAAATAATGTTAGTTTTTACTGAAGGTCTCTGGATTTAGTAGTATAAGGGAATTGCATTGCGTAACATGCAGCCAGGCTCACTTCCTTAATCTTAACATATCTCAAAGTTACTGATAAAGGCAGTTGTCCTCTCCCCTCCTTTCTCTCCATAAATTCTTCCATACTACCTCCTAATTGCACCCCATACTAATTCTCTTTACCTCTTTACTTCTCTTTCCCCTTCATTACTCTCTTCAGAAGGTGATATGGTTTGGCTCTGTGTCCCCACCCAAATCTCACCTTGAATTGTAATGCCCATAATCCCCACATGTCAAGGGCAGGACCACGTGGATGTAATTGAATCATGAAGGCAGTTTCCCCCACACTGCTCTCGTAATAATAAGTGAGTCTCAGGAGATCTGATGGTTTTATAAGGGTCTGGTATTTCCCCTGCTTGCATTTCTCTCTCCTGCCACTATGTGAAGAAGGACGTGTCTGCCTCCCCTTCCACCGTGATTGTAAGCTTCCTGAGGCCTCCCCAGCCATGTGGAACTGTGTGTCAATTAAACCTCTTTTCTTTATAAATTACCCACTCTTGGGTATTTCTCCATAGCAGCATGAGAATGGACTAATACAGAAGGGAAAGAAAGACAAAGGTTTGCATATAATGATCTGTGTACCCTCCTCTGAAATCTTTGGAGCCAAACATATTCAGAACTAGTAATTTTTTCAATTTTGTGGTTAATATAATGCATATAATGCATATTATATTCAAGGTTTGGAGAAGCACTCTGAAATCAAACACATTAATATTTGTGTAGTAAAACATGAATATTCATATGAGCTCATAAATATATGAGATAAGTAAATATTACACATGGACTATACAAGCTCAGGTCAGGTTTTATACCAAATGAATTAGCCAGAAAAGAAAATAACTTTTTGTTTTCACAGCTTTGGGGATTTCAAATTTTCTATACTTCTAAATTAATATTTTTTCTGTTATTCCCATCACACTTTACTAATAGTCAAGCAAACTTATTAAGAATGATGGAACCAGGGCTGGGTGTGGTAGGTCACATCTGTAATCCTAGCACTTTGAGAGGCCAATGCGGGTGGCTTACTTGAGCCCAGGAGTTTGAGACCAGCCTGGGAAACATAGCAAGACCCCAGACCCCATCTCTATTAAAAGAAATGAAAAAAAGAAAAAAAAAAAGAATGATGGAACCAGGCTGTCAACAGGATGGGTGATTCACTGAATACCTGCTATGTGCTGGGCACTGTTCTAGGCTCTGTACATTGTGAACAAGATAGACAAAAGTCCTGCCCTCGTGGGGCTTTCTCATATTCTGGGGGTGGGGAAGACATAATAAAGAGGCAAACAAATAAAAATATAATCTAAGATCTGGTAGTTAAAGAGGCAATTAAAAAAATAACTAAAGTTGAGAAAGGGCATAATGAAGAGTGATGGGGTTGGGTGGTCAAGAGGAGCCTCTCTGGGGAGGTAGGACTTGAATCGGCTTGAATGGTAGGATGGAGTGCGACTTGGGACTTTCTGGAGGAAGAGGATTGCAAGCTGAGGGAACAGCAAGTGCAATGTTGGAGCAGGAGTGCTGCTTGAGGAAGCCAGTGTGGTGGAGGGCTCTAAGGAATCAGAAGAGACAGGGGAAGAGAGGTCAGAAGAAAGGTATGGGATTTAAGCGTGGCTCTTAAAATCTCACCGCGATAGAATGGGCCAGGTAACCGGAGCCGTTGTTGGCTGTGAGTGGTAGGAGGAAGACAGCCAGACAATGATGGCTGAGAGGTACAAGTCAGGCAAGGAGTAGACTCAGGTCACAAGGGGCCGCCATGCTGACAGGGAGGCCTGATGGAGTCTCGAAACAAGCACAGTGGAGTGATCTAGGAGGGCAGGAGCAGCACAGGCTGCAGAGGGCAAAACTGCTGTCCTGAGAAGGACGTGGCAGAGAAAGAGCAAATAGACATAGCATTGTGGGACTGTGAAACAAGGTGAAGTGTTGGCTGCAGGACAGGGAGACTCCATTGTCCAGAGGTGAGCTTTGGGACAGAACAGGCCTGGCACCCTGGGAGAAATTCATTCTAAGTTAACTAAATACTTAATTTCCTTCTAACCAAAGCTGGAATCAGTCCTGCTAGCTGGAGCAGAAGGTACCTGTGGGGAGGCTGGGAATTTGGGGATTATCATAAAATTCCCTTCCTGTTTCTAAGTTCAAGGGTAGAGTTGTTAATATTTTGCTCTTCTGCATACCTAAATAGCCCTAAAACAGTCATGGGGCCCTAGGAAAAACAGAAAAAGTGCTCTGCATCCACTAATGAAAAATAATATTTGATACTACAGGAAGGAAACAGCTGCAGTAGTGAATATAGCAGGACAGATGGATCCTTAAAAAGAGCTCTGCTGGTCCATAATAGATTAAAGCTAAGGAAAGGAAAAGGCTTGCCAGCCCAGAGAAATAGTGATGCCCCCAGGATCATGTTAGTAATAATGGTAAGAAAGCTACCGTTATAATGACCGTTACTATTAACTTCCATTTATTGAATTACCACTATTTTCCAGGCACAGAGCTAGGCACTTCACTTGATTTCCCAGTCTGATACCCATGGAGACAGGAGAAGGGCTGGCAGGTGGTGGTCTTTATTGCTATTGTTTACTGTTTACCCTGAGTGCAGACCCAGTTGAGAAATAAGTCCCAAGGATCACACCAATTTAGATTAAAATGTCAGCTTTAAGCCTGAAAAACAGAACTAGAAAGTGTGACTTGGATTTGCTGTCAAATGGACTTCCTAATGTACCTCTCCAAAAAGGAAAACTTTCCCCACAGTAATAAGGCCTACTCCTATAAGCTTAGTTTACAGCAAGAAAAAAAAAGTCCACATTCTTTAGGAGAGATAGAGAGGGAAAGGAAGAGAGACCAAATAAGCAAATTATGCTATCAATAAGTGACTCCTTGTTCCAATGAGCAAAGTAAAAAAGGGAAAATATGGAAAAGTTCCTCTGTCACTTTTTCCTTAAGAAGCAGAGGGCAAATTCTCCTCTTTGTGTGAAAGAGTATATGGAAGAATTGGGATAAATAACCATTTTGGTCTTATGTTCATTTTCACAGACAAGTCAACTATAGTTCTGAAGTGTAAGTAACTTGACCAAGTCATAGACCTATGAGATAAAAGATAGTTCAGGATTTGAATTCAGGTCAGTCTGACTCAGAAGTCCTAATTCTTTCCACCATGTCACTTAAGTTAACTTACCAATTTTTTTAATTCTTACAAAAATAACAAAGGATCACTGTAGAAAGTACAAATTAGAAAAGAGAACTGAGAATGCCTAGAACTACCCATAGCCTTTGCGTTTATCTTGATGTAGAGCCTCCTTCTTTTGTGTTAGATAGCCTGTCTGAGAAAAAGCTCAAAGTAGATTACGACTGGGAAATTTCTGAGGGGGTTGCAGGACAAGGACCATCATGGAGACAGGGCCTGGGGCCCAGAGAATGGAGCTAAGAAGTAGTTCTGCAAACTCCTGAGGCCCAGCAGTCCTCAACATCTGCCTGCCAGCTCTCATCTTGGCAACGCCCGCATCCAATTCCCTCACCTGTTCCCTCCTCCTGGGTTTCTGATTGAAGTCCCTCCCTTCCTCTGGCACCCAAAGCAGGAAAGCTGCCTCATCCATCATAGTCCTTTCTTGTTTCCAAGGCCTCGTACCTATGCTTTTTCTTGTTTGATCATTCCTTTTCAGTTCCCAGAGCACCTGGTTACTGGCAGTTTCCTGGTTTTGAATGACTTCCTCATTTATACATCTGGAATTTGAGGTTCCTTCTTTCTTAAATGTCTACCTGGCTTCCAGCTCACTGTTTTCTCAGACCTTCATTCTTTTGTTGCTTCCACAGATAATTCTATCACCTGGCTTTTAGAACAAGGCCATTCCTGCTCTAGTATGCTGACCTGCTCAAAGCCACATTTTACCCAGAGTCTAGCCCATCCTCACACCTAACATCTATCCAGACTCTTATCCAGGCCTGGATTTCACAGGCCCAGTGCCAACACAACATGCACAACCAGTGGCCGTCTGTGTCTGCAGGGTGACACTAGTCTTTTCCACTTCTACCAATAGTCTGATTAGTCAACAAGGCTCTAAGACACTTCCAACCCCATATGTCTTACACAGTAATTTGTTCTATTTTCATAGATACTCTGCTTAGAATTAGTATTATTTATACCTTGTCAATTAGTGTGTTTATCATCACTTCTCTGATAACAATAGAAATGTATCCCCGTGAAGAGAATATGTTTACAAGGTATTAAAGAATTGTTTTTAAATTTGTTTTCAACTCTCTATGATATATATTCCATTAAAATTCTCTGATGCCATACTTGTTCCTCTTCCTAAAAATAAGACATCAACTTGGCATGAGACCATAACCCAACTGCCTTGGACTGTTACTTACAAGATTACAAGTACTAAATGGAATAAATCTTATTGGACAAATTCAAATGGTTAAATAAAATCAATTAATGAAGTTAAAATATTGATTTAAATGAAAAAAAAGAGCTTTAAGAAGTATTCAAATCAGTGTCTGCACTTAGAACTTGACTAAAATATCAAGGTTTTCTAGGAAGAACTTGAAAATTATTTCCCTAAGCCCACACCTTTCTATGTTCAATGTCATTGCTATGGCAATGAAGAACTCCTGTTAGGCATTACTAGTTAAAAGCAGGTAGGAAGCCAGTGCACATATACTGCCCTCCCGCTTCTAAGACATGTTTCCATTTTGCTAGCAAGGGAGATCAAACCACAAGATCTGAATCCAAGTGGAGGAAGGGGGATGAGTCTCGAATTCTCCGACCGTTCAACTTTTCAGATTCAGGAGGCTTTGGGGTGGGTACCAAAGATCTTAAGGGGCTTGGATAAGATCATCTAATCACTGGAATGCACTCTATTCTAAACTCAGCTTTGAAATCACTTCTTGGAACTGCATTACATAGGCATACCTTCAAGCCTACTGTATACCAACACATATAATTGGGTAAGTACTAGTTTTGTTCAGACAATAGAAGAATAAATTGGTAGAGTGATTTTACTGAGTTAGCACATAGCTTATTAAAGCCTGGTCCCTGACAGATAACCAGCAGTGTCACTATCTCCAGGGCCGAGTGTGATCAAGGAGCTAAAACCGCAAGTTTCTGAAACCAATCAAGAGTCAAAGATCTTTGAGATCTAGCAGGAGGTAAATTTGTCCTTGGACACTATTGAATAAATCTGAAGAAGGACCCCAGGGGATATGTTTATCACTATTACAGTGCTCTTTTAACATGGAGCCCCCTGACCCAAGAGACAGGCAGGATGGAGCTCTAGAAAATCATATGGTCTTCCTGGCCAGGAAAGTAATCTTTGTCCCATTATCTAACATCAATGGCACCATATTCACCACATAGTAGTGACTGATATACAAAAGAGGCTTTTCTTCGTGTTGGAAAAAAAAAAATCTGCTTTTTTTCCCCTGTTCAAATGTGTGGGATTTTATAGCACAGTGCTAGACCAGCTCAATACCTGATTGAAATAACCCAAGAGGAGGATACAGAG
This sequence comes from Homo sapiens, assembly GCF_000001405.40. NCBI lineage: Eukaryota > Metazoa > Chordata > Mammalia > Primates > Hominidae > Homo > Homo sapiens. Next base: position 93,401,826 of record NC_000005.10, read on the forward strand.
TGAAGGCTGAATTCAGAATGCTCTGTGAAAGTACATCTGTTTTATATGAGACACACAATCTGTCTCATTCCAACCTGCATTTCTGGGTCACTTGAGACATTTAAACTGCACTTATAATTAACAGCTATTTTTAAACAGTGAAAAAATAGAGCACTGGTAAGGTACAAAAGCATTAAAATTGCCCCAGTTTCGCTTTTCAATAGGACACACCACTGCAATATGCTTCAAGATCAAAGAGAGCTCAGAAAAAGAGAGAGAGAGAGAGAAAGAGAGAGACAGGCCGATCAGTGGGGATAAATTGTTCCCATTATGATGGTGTAAGAATAGGGTTCTTTCAATTGAAACAATTTAATAACCACATTCATTACATTGGTGTCCACTTGGTTTTATCTGAGCAGTTTTTGCATAACTGGGGAACAAGTTCAATTGAGCTTATTCTCTAGAAATTAAGATGTGCCGGGTTTGACATTCAGAAATTGGGCACTAATAGTCGACAAAGCAGTTGTCTTGAGATTCCCCCTGGATGTAGTGAGATCTGTGTACCACTAATTATGTCAAATGCAAATGCATTTTCTAGAAGTCCTACCCAAAATTTTCGTGAGCTCATTTCAAGGTGGTTAAGGTTACATTAGGGTGATGATGGAATATCAGAGTCTCTTCTTTGGAACATTCTTATAGAATCACTTTGCAAAGCATCACTTATATAGGTATAGCGATGCCATCTGTAAACTTGTTTTTCCCTCAGCTATCACCAGAGGAAATCTTTTGGAGCACTCATCTAATATTCTGTGAGATCAAATAGAATCACGACAAATACTGGAACTGCCGATTTGACAAATAACAAGGGGATCATTCATTTAAAGGGGAAAAAAGTCACTAATTTCCCAGGATTGACTTCAACTATGGATATCTACATACTAGAAAAAGTGTCGGATTTTCTGCCAAGCAGCTTTCCTGAGAGTGGTTACATTTGCTGGTTCTTAACTGCACTATGGAGCATAATGTGTCATTTGAAGAGTAGTTTATCCTAAAGTGCTATTTTAAAAAGATATTAGGAATGGAGCTGTAAAAATGCATATAGAAGAAGAAAAGCCAGGGTTTACATATGATGTATTAGATATACACAATCCATTCCTGTCTGCTTCTCTCGCCAGGAACTAAATCACGTACAGGAACATTTAAGAGATATTTCCCAGTGTACGCTAAATCCTTCTTTGTTTTCTTATTGCTGCCTAACAAGTGGAGAGTAAAGAATTGTTGAAACACACGTTGGGTGGCAACTTCATAATAGCGGCACTTCTTCTTTCCTTCTTTTCTCCAGAAGACAAAGTATAAAAACTGAGAAGTTACCCTTACTTCTGCAAAAGCTTTTGAATAATGGTTTTTCCAGGAGCAAGTGCACTTCTCTCACTAGACCATTTCCCCAGATGGGATTTGCAATATAAAACCACCATAGATTGGCTTATTGAGGAAAGGAGATAGACTTGTACAAATCACTGGAAAGATAAATAAGCTACAGAGATCAATAAATAAAAGCCAGGCAGAAAAAAAATCAAACTCTGGCATTCCAGACCAATTAAGATGTTATTTACTGCCCATGTGATTGTAACTTCGATGCTCTCCTTTCCCGTTTTCACACCATAGGCATTTGTTTTGCTGAGAGAAAGATATATAACTGATGTGTAAATAGAAAATGATATAGATAGATTTTATGTCCCATAAAACTGTTAATCTGTGCTCCACATTAAATATAAAGTACATTTTTTATTTAGACACTGCACTGGTATAATTAAAATAAAGTATGCTGGCTTTATTTTTTCAGTAAGTCATTTCCAACCATAGAGATCAAATAACAGTGCAACAGCAGCATGAAATGTGGTTATAATAGCCTGGGACCACATTTCCTGAAACTAAAACATGGGAGATAATAGTGTGAAGGTACAAATTAAATGCAAATAAAACAGATTCCCTATTGTTGCTAATCCCTGGATTGGGTTTCAGTAGGGAAATTTAGCTGTAATGCTTAACTTCTTTGTACAGCAATCATTGACATGTTATCAGTTGCATTTTGAGATCATTGATAGAAACTCTCAACAAAGAATTTAGACTACCTGTCCACCTTTCAGGAAGAAAATGGAAGTTGTCTGGGGCAAATCAAATAAAAAGATACTGCCCAGACTGCCTCCGGGACACTTATGGCAGTTGGCAAACACTGATTAACTTGTTTCATAATTGATATACATTTTTGTGGCAACCTACTTTCATTTGCCCAGCAGAAGCTTTTTTATTTCAGAGGTGTGTCAGCATGGCTTAGCAAGCACCCATTTTTGAGGGTGACTGCTCTGAAAACATCTCAAATTTTAACACAAGGGGGCCTTACAGTAGGTTTGTGTTACAATTTCTGGTTTTCCTATGCTGTAATAAGCCTACATGCCATGGCAATAAAGAATGGCTGGTAAAATATAGATGTTTTTAACAATTGAAAAATATGATTTAAAGTGAACTTGGCAAAATCACCTTTTCTTTCAGCCCAGTTTCACAAGGACCTTGCTACTAGTGTTTAAAATGGTCATTGAGCAATTTGTTTCTTGGAATTTCCAAGTGCACTGACATGAGTAGTCATTCTGATGAGATATGGCTCTTTTCTAGACAAGAAACTAACTCATGTTTTGGGGCTCTCTGATAAACAATCTCTTTCTAGTCTTTCATAAAATGGCATTTGTCTTGTAACTCCATAATTTGCAGCTCTCGACTTCCAGGAAAGTTCTGGGCATGTTACATTCTGTCTTTTACATTCTGTAACTACAAATAGCAGTAATAGTGCATGCTAAGAAAATAAATGACTTTCCTCCTCACTTCCAAAAACTGTCAGGGACTATCAGAAAGTTTCTGTAGTCCCTTCCTCACCTGGAAGCCTTATGGGTCTCAAAGAAGAATCAGGAGCCACATTTACCCAGGTTAATCAAAAATGAGGAGCACACGGGGGTGCCCAAGATAATGCACTGGGATGCAAAAAAAAAACATTAGATTAGATATTTTATTCATTTATACACTAAAAAGAAAGGAAGATTTACTAGCAGTAAAAATATAGAGCTTAATGGTAGTATAACTTAGAAGAAAATGTACATATTTGGAGGTTCATACTGTAAATTTTTAAGCAATTTTGTGCATAATTTTTATAGTTTGAAGACAATTGGCTTGGTGACTGCTATTAATCCTCCAAATATTGGTATAGAAGAGAACTTTTGGAGACTCTGTGTGGTAAGCAGACTAATGGTCCCCGAAAAATGTTCATGTTCTAATCTCCAGAACCTGTGAATATGATATCTGGCACAGCAAAAGGGACTTTGCAGATGTAATTTAGTGCATGGACCTTGAGATGGGGCGATTATCCTGGATTTTTTTCAGGTGGTCTCAATCTAACTACATGAGTCCTTAAAAGTGAAAACCATTTTCCAGCTGGATTCAGAGAGTGACAGATGTGATGACAGAAGAGGGAAAGATACATGCCATGTGAGAAGAATTTGACCTGCCATTGTTAGTTTTGAAGATGGAGGAAGCGGCCACAAGCCAAGGAAGGCAGGTGGCCTCTAGAAGCTAGGAAAGACAAGGGAACGGGTTCTGCCCTGGAGCTTCCAGAACAAATGCAGCTCTGTTGACAAGTGATTTAGCCCAGTGAAAACTCTGACCTACAGAACTGTAGGAAAATAAATTTGTGTTTTTTTAAGCCACTAAATTTGTGGTAATTTGCTATGAAAGCCATAGGAAATGAATACATTCCATCTGCCCTAATTCTGAGTGCTGGAGTATTAGGAAAAATTTAAGTACAGTACCAAATAGATTCAAGTTGCAATCACTGGAACATTTTTGATCAACACCTCCTGATTTCACATCATTAGAGGAACAAATAGCAGCAAAATACGACATGATAAGTTGACTATATTGTATTTACAAAATTGGAAATAGAATAGGAACAAGCTCTTTGGTCAAGAAGAGGTGAGAGTTTACAGACATGATCTTTACCCATTACCTGAACATTATTTCCAATGCCAGCAAATATTTTTAAAAAGAGTAAAAAATCTGAACCTGGGATATGTTGCATTTGCCCCAAATCTAAGGCACTTAGAGAATTTTAAAACTCATTCCTCAACATCTGAACTTCAGAAAGTAAAATTTCCAGGAATGACAGTATCGTGCTGGAAACATTAATGTGCCAGCACGAAATAATATCATTCTGTAGGAGGTAATAAAGGTATGAATTATGTCAAATTGTATTTGGTTCATGGATGTTACTATGCTTCTTATGGGCAGATACAGCTAACAGGCACAAGAACACCTGCCCATCTCCCTCAGAAAATTAAAGTCGTGTGCACAAACATCCATCTGAGAAATTAGAGGACTGTTTGTGACAAAATGAAAATGTGCAGTGTTTTAGATATACCTCCTAAGGAAAAGGAATATCTCCTGTTACAGCAGAACATACATTTTCTCCTGGTCCTCATTGTAGAAAGAACCATTAAGCAAGTGGTGGCTTCTACTCCTGTTAGGTAACAGAATATGCTAAATGAACTTGCTTCTATGCTATATAGCACCGCCATTATGGACTCTAGCCATTAATTGGTTTGGGGTCACTGGCCATCTTAGTTAATGTGAGGAATCTATTCTTCTTTAAGTAAAATGTACAATGGCGTCTCCTATTGAAATGGGCCAGTTTTCAAATGATATGCATCATTATGCATGTGTCAATGTACACATGTATGGGTTTTCCTGCATTTATTTATTTAGGGTAAGAAAACAGTCCATTTTGTAAAGTTTAAAGAAAGTATTTACAGGTGCCATTGTGTACCAAAGTTTTTGAAAAGTTTGAGAAAAATGTGGCACAAGGAAAATGCAAAACTCTATGAGCCTCATTGTGATTTAACCCTTTTGGAGCCAAAGCACTAACAGGGGAAAAGGCTGCCTTTCTCTTCTTTCCCCCTCTCTGCGGATGCATATAGATGACACCACAAACAGAACCATCGCTCCTGCTACAACCTCGATAAAAATGTGCTCAGTTAATCTACACAACATAGAGTCATCCTCTCCAAAAGTAATTCACTTCTTTAAAAACTGGAAGGAAAATAAATATGGTACAGTTAAATTGTTGAGTAGAGGAATCTATCTGGACATTTCACAAAACATTTCATTATGCTGACAATTCCCAGAAGTACTCTCAAGAGTGCTTTAAGCTGAGGATTACTGCGCTGGAGCTGATGGACTTTTTTTGTAGCCCCTTTAAAAGGCAGTGAACCGTTTTTCTATTTTATTTAAATAATGCCCCTTAAAATGGATTTTTAGAGGTATAATAACTCCTTAAGAGTCAGTTATGCTAAACAGTTTCTCTTGATAGAAATGTTGTAAAACTCGTTAACTGCACAATTTCAGATGCCGGCTTGGTGAACACTAACTGACATGTGAATGACCAGAGTTTGTAAAATAAATTGCAATAGTTGTTGTATCACACAGCTAGCACTGCACAAGCTGGAGGCCACGAGGGGCTCCAATCTGACAGAAAATTACTTCAAGATGAATGAAAAGTGCTTGTTTCTCTTTATTAGTTTTTAGAGAACAATGAAAATGTGGAATTGTTTACAGAGGGCTGATTAAATGTGGTCAGTGGGGCCACATCCCTACTGCTAACTGTTAGCCTCCCCCTCCCTCCGGCCCCCAACCTACACACTCACACACCATACAACTGCAAGCACCCCTCCTCACCCCACCCCCACCCTCAGCCTCCTGCCACATGCATCTTCTTATGCGCTATTATGGCTGCACATCTGTGTGTGAAATGTGCTCATTCTGACATTCCACTGCTGCTCGGCGCTGCAGAGGCCTTTGTTAGGTAAAACACTGTTGTCAAGCCTAACAAGCAGGTCATGCAATTTGCTGGACACTGTGGCAGAGAATAGCCCACGATGGATTGCTTCGGCCTCAGACAATGTTCAGTTCCATGTTGGAATACATACATATTTCTTTCATTGTGCAGCACTACGAAAAGTCATGACTTTTTTTTTAAGACTTTGATTTTTTTAAAAAGTAGGTTCCTTGTGTTAGACTACCCCAGAATAGCCTGTTTGTTGTATTTACTTAGGATAACTACTGTCTTACGGCTAAAGGAAAAAGGCATGAAGTGCTTTAATTGGTCATTTGTGGCTTAATTCCATTTATGTTTGACCAGAAAGCACAGCAGAGGAAAGGCACTAGTTACCACCTTAATACTTAAAGGGGTGGTCAAAACCAGGGCATTTAGGAGGATGTTGTGGAGAAGGATTCTCACTGTAAATTTCCACAAAGTAAACAGCCCTTGATGGAAAGAAATATGATAACTCATTAATAAGCATATGTCAAGCACAGAGAAAATAGTCTTTTTACCAGACCAAGCTAAATGAATTAGATCCAAAAAATGTTTTGGTAAACGAAAAAATTAAGGAAAAGCAAATCACTACCATTCAGCTCAACAAACAGCCTTCCACGGCCCACAACCTACCTCACTCCTAACCTCTCCCTTATACACACACACACACACACACACACACACACACACACGCTGGGAAAAGCAGCAGTAACAGGGAGCAGTTTGAATGCTATTTGTGGCATCTTAACACAATACATAGCCCACACCCCAAATGTGCAAGCAGGATTCTCTCCCGCTCTGTGCAGAATATGCATTCTGAGCCTATTATGTGTATAAACAATGGCATATGTAATTACCTTTCTAGGGTGGCAATTATTCCTCAGAATCAACAACCAGAGTTAAAGCATGTTCCCCCAAAAGACATTTGGGGATCAATTCTGGGTCAATTGCGTCAGGCTTTGATTTATCACATGGTGTCAGGCCATGTTAAAAAAAGTAAGTTAAAAAAAAAAACTGTATGAGGTAAAGGCCAATGGTTTGACTCAAATTGGTTTGTTTCCAACTTTGCTTTCTCCCAATTGCTCTGCCCTTCCTCCATTCTCAAAACAACTGTGATTTGCTGGGTTTTAGCTGTTAGACAGTTTGCTGTTCAGGAATATTAAATGCAGTAAATCTGGACTATGTCCAGATTCAATCTACCCTACACACACACACATACATACACACACCAGGCATGGGGACTTTCTCCTAGGATATGGCACAGAGTAGGGGTGAATAGTTCAGGCTTTGGAGTTCAAGAGGTCTGGATTTGGAGTCCCACAACTTAAGCAAGATAGCATACCTCCACAGTGCATAGTGCCTACTTCAAATGGTTATTGTGAGGTTTAAAGGAGATAGTTGAGAGAATATGTGTAAAGTATCTCACTGCCTGACACACCGTGAGTACCCTGTGAATAGAGAAATTACTATTCTATTGACAGATGGGGCAGCACATGACAAGTGGAGCAGCCCCTCTGAAAGCCCTGTCCATGCATACAGAGTGCGGCAGGGCCCAGGGCAGCAGAGTGGATGTTGGTACAAATAACGGCTGAACTGGCAAATCCAAGACACCAAGTAAGAGGCCCAGGGGACTAGACTGTATAAAAATATCCAGTTTATTTGGATACGTTCCAAGTAGATTGATTGTAAGCTACCAACCCCTAAGTAGCACCAATAAAGGTGCTATTCCATTAGCAAGACTACACTAGGCACCAGGAATGCACAGATGGACACTCCAAGAAATCTTCCAGAACAGGAAATAAATATCTACAGTTTAGTAGAACACAAGTTAATAACTAATACTTCCTGGAAGATACCTCATGCAAACTAAAAGTGGCATAACAAATATCCAGTATCACGACCAGGAGTTTGGGAGTGGGGCGATTCAGCCTGTTACAGACAAATCATATCACTAAAGTTACCAGTCCAATTAGAGCTATTCCTTACTGAGGAGCAAATAATATTTTTTTAGAAATTAAGTTAAAAGGGATCATATGAGAATTCACATCACATTATTTATGGAGCAATATAATGCCTCATTCAAAGAACACTTTAAATCCAGTTTATACAGAGCAACATTGTTTATTTAATAAGATGGAAATAGCACTTACACAATGCATTTCTCAGACAGCACACAGTGCTATTGGCAGTATGTATTGGCAGCTTAATTAAGAAGTCTGTTGATGATGTTAAAAAAAAGCTGACACATTTTCAATTCAGATGGACACTCCTCAAGACAAAGACATGTCTATTGTTGGCTCATACATACTAAAATGTGTCATAGACACTACATAAAATGTCTGGTATCTACAGTTATATCAGTGTCTTTACACTGGGAAAATCATGACACACTTATTCTCAAGTCAGAAATAAATTTTTGGAAAAATTAGACAGTCATTTAACTTATGGAACACGAAGGACAATGAATACAATGAATACTGAAATAATTACTTAGCCAAATTTTCATAGAGCCGTTGCCCAGATGGATTTTGTTCCATCCCTATCCTATCTTGGGTCTCTGAGTACCATCACCCACGTTTGATCCAGATCTTCCTCTTCTTCATGCTAATAACTCACTCAGAATGGCAGGCCCCTAGGGCTGGGGTCCACAGGCTGCAGACTAGTACCCGTCTGTGGGGGTCCATGGCCTATTAGGAACCAGGCCGCACAGCAAGAGGTGAGCAGTGGGCCAGTAAGCATTGCCACCTGAGTTCTGCCTCCTGTCAGATCAGTGGCAGCCTTAGATTCTCATAGCAGCGCAAACCCTACTGTGAACTGTGCATGTGAGGGATCTAGGCTGCGCACTCGTTATGAGAGCCTAACTAATGCCTGATGATCTGAGGTGGAACAGTTCCATCCCAAAACCATCCCCACACCATCCACAGAAAAATTGTCTTCCAGGAAACTGATCCCTGGTGCCAAGAAGGTTGGGGACCACTGCCCTAGGGTGTGGAAGGTAGTGGACTGTAGAGACAACAGGTATAATTCACCTTCCCACTCCCCAAGAAATCCACAAGCAATATATTTTTCCAACAGACAATCTATACCTAAGGGGAAAAAAACAGAATTTAATGCAAATTAACTCAAACTACAATGTATTAATATGTCTAAAGTCTACTAAATATTTATGGAATCAATAAAATGGATCCTATCAGAAGCCCAACAACAAAAAAAAGGATTAAAATGTCCTGAGTTGCCATGTTAGGAGTTTTTTTGGATTTTGTTTTGTTTTTTATTAAAGAGACTTAAAACACAGAATATACTTTTCCATTCATGTATTTATTGTCTTGGGGATACACCTAATTAACAGCAGAAGAAAAACAATGTACCCTGAAACTAACTGTAAATTTATTGAAGACAGGCTCCACATCTTTGTCTCCCACATCTTCTTCCCCTATTTTGTGCAGTGGTTCACATATAGTAAGTATTCAATTAAGTTGAAAAGCAATGCAAGTTTCAATTCACATTAATTTGGAGGGGTTGCACTGATTTAAGGAGCAGCTGAGATGAAAAGGCTAGCTTCGATCTTTTCTGATTTCTGGCTAGTGAGGCACACCATCTTGAAAACTTCCTCTGCTGAACCTTGCATAACTGCTGTCCACTGCGGCATTCTTAATGTCTTGATTTGTTTCCATTTCTGCTGAAGGTAACGAGATGGTTCTCCAGTGCTTATCTTTCCAAAGAGAAAACGTGCAGGGTGATTTGAAGCAGGTACTCAGTGGCTATCTGTCCCAGTCCTAGAGGCAGTGTATCTGTGGGCAAATTGAAACCAATTATTAATCCAGGCCTTTCTAAGAACAACTTTTCAGAAGTACAAAGGTTAGCTTTTACTGATCACTAAAATGTTATTTCGCTCAACATTTCAAAAATACAACCAGGATCTCTTATGGTGGTTGTCTAAAGCTTTATCTCCCTACTTTAAATAATGACTTTGAAATCCATCTCACCCCCAGGCACAGATCCAAGCCTAAGGAAATCAGAAATATCACATACCTGCATATTTGGAAAAGAAAGTTCCCCTACCAGGTAAGGATTCTGCATTTTCATTCCTTGTCTTTATAAGCAGGAAAAGCCCCACTCGAGGTCCCAGGCCCTACCCCTTTGTGAATAGTAAAGTCCCTGCCTGTGTCCCATCCTGTGGCACCATATGGATGGCTGGGAAACAACAGTTGCAGATAGAGAAGCGTGCTGTGAAGCAATCGGACAAGCAAAGAACATTTTCTTCAGCAAAGGCTCTGAACTAGCCAGGTGGGTCAAAGACAGAGGCACACATGAAAACTTCAAACATCAGCTAGGTAGGAAAGCCCCCATGAGGGCAGCATGGAAGGATCCAGTCACACCTTGTGTATTAGTTACACCATCATGCACCAGAAAAGACAGGCATCTTTACAAGAAACATTTCCATTCATTCACATGCTCAGGGGCTGTTGTCTCTCTGAACTGTCTTACTGCAGACCCTGGCTCCACCACCCCTCCTTGCTCAGGCCCTCTTCTCCTCAGCCTGGAATAAGATGGCCTCCTAGCTAGGCCTAGGTCTCCTCTGCCATAGTCTCAACTCCTTCCAAGCAATGCTACCACCTCTGGGCCTCCACCTCAGCCATTCATTCCAGGCTCCCTCTGAGCTTGGGCCCCTGATGTCTCCACTTAAAAGGCTCAGCACTACTGTAACCTTCAACCCATCCTCATCAGAGCAGACCATAGAGAAGCAACTTCAGCCCAGAAGATGGTGAGACTGGAATTCTATATTTGACCACAAATGCATTCAGTTGCACTGACTTTACTCTACATTGCTTCTTCATTTCTCCGTTTTCCTAGTTCCAAACATGTTGGCTCAATCCTCAGAGCTGGCATCTGCCCTGACTGGATTTTCGGTTTCCTACAAACTGGATTTCGGTTGCCTTATGCCTTGCCCTGAACCTAAATCTACTTGACTAGGGACCTGATAAAACCCTTCCCTAGATTCCATTCCAGGCCCCCAGCTGTAGGCTGGGATCCAGCTGTGATTAGATTGCCTCCTTTCATGATACCACCACTCGTGACTCTAAATCTCACCTGTTATCTACAATTCTAGTGGCCCAAACCTCCTGCTAAATTAAATCTCCTCAGGTACCAACACCTTCCCTGAACCAATCCCAACCACATCCACTTGGTCACTAAGGACTGGACTGCTGGCTTATGCTAGTGAAACCAAGTTCCCAGTCCCTAATACACCTAATCTTGGCTTCCTCCTGTTCCCTGGAAACCTATGCTGCTGAGACCCTTCATAGGAACTTCCTCACCCAGCCTAGACAAATTATAGCACTATGGTGTGTGTGTGTGTGTGTGTGTGTGTGTGTGTGTGTGTGTGTGTATGCAATTAGAATCTAAGTGTCTTCTTAATAAAAACTTACTGATTTTTCTACAGTAAATGTCTAAACTACATCAGAATAGACATATATATGTATATATATGTATATATATATATGTGTGTGTATATATATATATATATGCTGATCTCTAGAAAGAAAAGGAGAGGAAAGTTCCATCCCATCTTCTCCTTACCCCTACCCAAGCCCATCCTCAAGGAGGAAAAGACACAAAGTGACTGAATCAAGTTACCCAACTCAGTTAAACTTTTTGTAAGTGGGAGAAGCTTTTAGTGTACTGGGAGAAAAAGTTAAAGCTTTAACTTCTGTGGGCTCTCTCATCTCTTCAGGGTTCATCTCTTTAAGGTTCTCACTCTCTTTGGATTGCTTCTTTCTACTTCCACATGGCCGGTGTGATAAAACTGGACTGAAACTTCTCTGAGCTGAGCTCATCAGAGACTGCATTAGGTTTGGGGTAGGAGGGCCAGGGCCCAGGTAGGCTAAGAACGTATGTGCATGTATTAAATATCTGAGGTGTAGCCTGTGCTCATCTCCTCCAAGTACCTGTGGCCACAAGAAACACGTGGGCAAGGATCTGAATGCAATTAGAATCTAAGTGTCTTCTTAAAAAAAACTTACTGATTTTTCTACAGTAAATGTCTAAACTACATCAGAATAGACCAAGAATTCTGAGAAATTTTGAAGTTCTGGGTCAGTGTTATTTATGATTCATGTATTGAGTACATCCCTCATTCAAAACCTTAATTTTATTTTTATAAAGGCATTTCTCTAAGAACACACTTCTTACATCATAGATCTCTGAGTCTGAGATCTTTTTGAGTTAGGATGCAAGCAAGACAAATCCTGGGGGGTTTGTAAGCCTTCCTGCCAGATTAAAGCCAGGGACTTCTACTATAAAATGTTTCACTGGCTCTTGCAGATGACCACAGTCCACTGTAGAATCATTTAATATTCATGATACTTCACATATTTTGAATATTTACATATAACATATACATACTACATACATATACACATAACCTTACTTGAAAAGAATTGGATAATGGATTTAGGCATACCCCAAAGTCCTATGATCTTTCATCACTTGGACAAGTCTGTGGTGAAAACTCCACTTTGAAACAATGTTTTTGTTAGCATGTAACTCAGAATGACACTGCCCCTAATACCCACTGTCCACATCTTTTTATTGATAGAATCCTTGAATTTAAAGAGATGAATGGCCACAAAAACTATTTTTTCAGGCCCTCCTGATAGCTAGGTATGGTTGATGGGATGTGAGTAGAAACTAGGAATATATTTGATTTAAACCCTTAGTACTAATATATGTTGCTCAGTCACTTCTGTGGCTAAGGTGAGAACATGCCTGTAGAAGAGAAGTCTGTGCCTTGGTGAGAGTGCGTGGCCAGCAGTCTCCGATCTGTGTAGGTATTAATGTGTCAGGGCTGAGTGTTCCAGGATTTCTCTAGAGGCTGGCAAGGGCTCCTGAACCAATTGTCATTTCTGTCTTGCCACTATATCAGGGTTGGAGAAGTCCAAGCCTTAGGACCCAGTTTCCTTTCTACCTGGTGTTCTCCTGCCAGAATACCATGGGCTGTTACTTGCCTTGAGTTGGAAGCAGTTTGCATGTACACTTGTAAATTTATTCATCCTTTTAATTTATATAAGGTTTTTTTGTAACAATTCTCAATTACTTAAGCAATGACAACAAATTTTGGTTTTCTTTTGTTATGTAAGAACATTAGGCCCCAGCAACATGCTACTGTGTAAGGAAAAATAAACTGTTGCAGTTAAAAAAAAAAGTTAGGAGTACAACCTCCAAGGAATGCCCTTAAAGAGAACACTTATGCATCTTCAGACATATTAATGAAGCCAATATCCAGGGGTAGCAGAGGTTATCAGATAGAAGTTTACATCTCCCTGACCCAACAGTCTAAACATAAGCAATCCAGAACTGCTACACCAGCTTCGTTGTGTCAAGGAGCTCCTTCTTTCATGTTTAAGCCACTATACTTTGGTACCTCTCAACAAGAATATAGGTTAGGTTGCTGTAACAAATACTTCTCTGCCACTTTATAGCTGACCTATCTTGGACAAATAACTTAAACTCTATATTCTTTTAACTGTATCTACTTCACAGGGTTGTTGTCAGCAACATGAGACTATGTCTTTTTTGGGGGAGGTAGAGTGGGGGTCTCATATCCCTGGTTTCTAGCACAGTACCTGAATATAGTAAGCATTCAATAAATACCAAGCTATTATTGCTGATCTTACTCATATGCCAGATCTAAACAAATAATGCCAGACCTTAACAACTCACCATTCAGTATTTCCAATAAAGATCTGATCTAATCCAAATAATCAACATGGTGTGCATTAGAATGATCACTTTCTGACCCAAATCATAGAAAACATGGTTTGACAAAAGATATTATCTGACTTGTGAATTTATTTTTATGAAAACTCTTATATGTAGAACCACTGGTCATCAAATTAATGAACTGACTTAACTTTTTTAAATGATCCACTTGTATTGGGCAGTCCTGGAAAGTCAAAGGCACATTGCCCCAAGAGTACTGGTTCTGTCCCTGCCTGTTATTATTGCAAGCTTCCACTGTTCATGCATACACTGCAGAAAAGCCTGATTTTTATAACACGTTTATGATTGTGAACTTGTATTGTAATAATACAGAATCTCAAGAAAAATAATTCTTCTGTTTTCTCAAAGGAAGATGGGCACTTTTTTTGCTTCTACAAAAATAGCATGGATGAGAGTTTTCAGGAAAACACATTTCTCTTATTGAAGAGCACTTAATAAACACACACCTGACTGCTTTCATTTCACCACAAGTGGTGCCCATTTGCCAGTCATCGAAGTAATTCAGTCTGCTCTGTTGAAGTGATGGATTCTACAAGCTGTGTAAGGCTGTCATTAAGGAGAGGATAGATTATAGTCTCATGCAGGACATTACAGTACTTACATTTCTCACCCACACAGCTTATGAAACAGGGGAAACAAGAAGATGAAAATAAAATTAAACATGGACTTAATGCCTTTCTCTCCCAATGAATGGAATGAGCTGGTCACTAGCACACACTTTTTACTACTTATATATAAAGTTCCATTTCCTTCTAGTTAATATAAAAAGCTTTGACACAAAGACTGTGCACAAAATTCATTATGCAGTAATTTATGTCTAACTTGCCTTTGTGCCTCTACTTTTAAAATATTATTCTTTTTTCACCCTATTTATACAGCCATTTTTCCTTCTCTATAATTTTTACCTACTTAAAATTCTCATATAGAACAGAGATTATATCTAGAATAAGATTCATTAATTTGGGTGAATTGAAAAAGACAAGCTTGAATGAATGAAAAGTCTAAAGTATGGACAATTATCAAAAAGAGCATAACAGCAACAGCTGACATGTGGGAGTTTATTACATGAAAATCACTGGGCTTTTTACCTTATATTATCTCATTTAGTCCTCAAAACAGTCCTGGAGCAGGTATTATCATACCATTTTTACAAATTGGAAAACAGACTTTAAGAGATGTTAACTTTCCTAGGGCCACATAGCTACTAAGCGGTCGAACTCCTTCCAAAGTTGCAGTTGTCTGACTCCAAAGCTCGTGCTCTTTACAATCACACCAAACTGCTAGGTTTTTTTCTTCAATCAATAATAATATTAAAAGTAATATCTCAGAGGAAGGTTACAAAACTCTAAAGTGGTTTATTTAAAAAAAAAGTATTTAAAATTAGCTCAACACTTATTTTAGGTAATATTTACCTGGCATTTATGAAGTAACTACTTCACACAAGGCATTTCTATACATTAAAACTGACCCTCACAACAACCTCATAAAGTAGATAACTATCTCCATTTTACAGATGGGGGAAAATACTCAGTGAAGCTAAGGTCACATAGCTAGTAAGTGGCCTAGTCTTTGCACTATGCCACACTACTTCATTATCTGCCTTACAAGATCTTTCTCTAAAGTGCTAGAGAAATCTGCTTTTTAAAGGAATAGTGCCATCCCCCTGCAATTTTATTTATACTATTTATTAGCTCAGCAAAGCTTTAGTTCAGAGACAATGCAAAGGTAAACTTTAACCCAGGCCTTGACCTCATTTTCATAAATTCCAAATTTAGTGAGGTCCATGTTAATGGGTTTTATTGTATATGGAAAAGAGTTTAATAGTCACTTAGCACTGCTCTATCCATTAATAAATCTAAAAAGCCACACAAAGGTGAAGGAAGGAAGAACAGTGACCTCAAAACTAAAACAGATAAAGAGTGCCTATAATTTGTACTCCAGCAAAAAAGTCAGAATATAAAACTGCCAATACATAACAACCAATTCAATCTTACAAGTTTAAATGCTCATTCATCAATTAAAGAAAATTAACCTAATCAGATGCTCATATTAAAGAATACAGCCATAGCAATTCAGCAATGATAATTAAAAGTCCATTTCAAAGCTCTTTGGTGTGCAGTGAAATGATCTAACAGCGAGGCTGCCTGGTTCTTTTCACGGTGTTGTGTAAATGTGCACAGTATGTGGTCATTCCTAGCTGTTGAACATGTTCATCTTCGCTACTCATGCTGCACTTGTTTCTGATGCAGATATGCTTCTAGGTACACAATGAGTGGGAAACATGTACAAGATATGACAGTGAATAAAGCACATGTCTGCAGCACTGTTCTCACCATGCCTACAGCCAGTTCCATAATACACAGGGGATTTTTTTTCTCCTTGTAGGTCATCACCATACTGAAAATATTCTAAATAAATCCTACAGGTGTCAGAGGGGGCCACCTGGAGCACTTAAGAGTCCCACAACTCTGTCAAGTTGCATCATGCTTTTTTCTTTTCTTTTCTTTAGGCCAACTTGTGAAAGAGCTGCCACATGCCTCTCTGCAAGGGAAACAGCCTTGGGACACAAGCAAAGCAATCCAGGTAAAGGATAGCCAACTATTCTTTAGGCCTGATGCACTGTGGAATAGGTGGCAGAAGCAGATTTCAGGTCCCTTAAAGTCTGGCCAGACTCTCAATAGGTCACCTACTTCCTGGTGACTGACAGCCGAGGCCTAAAGGGGGCCAGCTTGCCGAGGACCAGCTTGAGGTTTGCAGTTTTGGACACCCAGAGTGAACTAATCTCTCATAGCTATTCTCCATAAAGTATAAAAGAATAAACTTCCCACCTGTAATCCCAGCACTTTGGGAGGCCAAGGTGGGCAGATCACAAGGTCAGGAGATTGAAACCATCCTGGACAACATGGTGAAACCCCGCCTCTACTAAAAATACAAAAATTAGCTGGGTGTGGTGGCATGCGCCTGTAGTCTCAGCTACTTGGGAGGCTGAGGCAGAGAATCGCTTGAACCCAGGAGGCAGAAGTTGCAGTAAGCCAAGATTGCACCGCTGCAGTCCAGCCTGGCAAAAGAGCGAGACGCCGTCTCATAAAAATAAATAAATAAATAAATAAATAAATAAATAAAAACCTCCCTACTATATGAATGTAAATTCATCCAAATATCTGAGGCTCCCATAATTTGCTGACCCCTTATCTGTGTTACCTGACTGGTTTGTCCACCAGGCTCACCACAGTATTATGTTAGGATTCAGCCTTTCACTTTCACTTCCAACTCTCTTGGCCACAGCATCATAATTGCTACCATTTCTTTTATAATCAATTTTGATTTCAAGTCACTGAAAGCATTACTGAAAAAGAATATGGAGTTTCACTCTCTGGACTATTCAATGTCATAGCAAGAAAAAAACCTTCCTGGGTGTGTTGGATAAACTGAGCACTCTCAGAATCCTTCCCAACCTATGAGTTCCTCATTATTATTAATCAAATACCTAGCAGTACTACTTCTAGGAATCTATCTTACAGAAATAGCAGCACAAGTTCACAAAAACAAAAACATTACCATGTTCACTACAGTGTTATTTGCAATGGCAAAAGTGTTAAGTGATCTAAATGGCCAACAGTTGAAGGATGATTAATTATGGACCATCCATACTCGGGAGCACTGTGCAGCCATTAAAAATAACATAGTATGCCTCTGTTTACTGGCATGAAGCTATGTTCAGTGAAAAAAGGATGATGGACAACATGTATAGAGTGATACCATATTTGGAAAAAATACCACTGTGTATATACAGAAATATATGTGTACAAAGGGAAATTACATGAAAAGAAATATATCTTAGAGATTTGTAACTATAAATATGTAGTTATGTATATTTCTGTTATGTGATATTCAAGTAAAAACATTTCTATTGCTGGGCACAGTGGCGTGCACCTGCAGTCCCACCTACTTAGGAGGCTAAGTCAAGAGAATCACTTGTGCCCAGGAGTTTGAAACTATAGTGTGTGAAGACAGTGCCTGTGAATAACCACTGCACTCCAGCCTAGGCAATACAGAAAGACTCTACCTTTAAAAGAAGTTTCTATTATATACTTATATAAACATATATTTGCATATGCATAGAAATATCGGAAAGGATATACATTAATAGTGGTCACTTCTGGAAAGTGAGTTTGGAAAGACAGAACTTTAAGTTTTTCTTAAACATATATGTGTTGAGGTTTCTAAAGGATTCTGCAAAATTGACACCCCTTTCCTCTCCTAGGTTCTGAGCAAATAAAGAAATAATACAAAAATAAAAACAGATGGGGGACCAGAATATAACCTTTATTCTGATTGAAGCCAAGGTGGAGGAGGTAGCTTAGTCTGAAATCCAAAACACACATGGCTAAGCTATAGAATTATATCATCTTGGGGCCGGGCATGGTGGCTCATGCCTGTAATCCCAGCAATCTGGGAGGCAGAGGTGGGTGGATCACTTGAGGTCATGAGTTCAAGACAAGCCTGACCAACAGGTGAAATCCTGTCTCTACTAAAAATACAAAAATTAGCCAGGTGTGGTGGTGCACACCCATAATCCCTGCTATTCGGAAGGCAGAGGCACAGATCACTTGAACCCAAGAGGCGGAGGTTGTAGTGAGCCGAGATTGCACCACTGCACTCCAGCCTGGGCAACAGAATGAGACTGTCTCAAAACCAACAAACAAAAAAAATTGTATCATCTTGGCAGGCCAGGACAGCAAAAGCTGGGATGAGCCCCCAGCCTTAGAGAAAATGTGTGCTCTTGGTAGGCAGGCCCTTCTCCAGATAGAACGAGCATGGCAGTAAGCTGAGCTAGCCCACTTATTCACCCCAAATTTACCAATTAGGTAAGTCACTCCCCTATAGAGTACAGTGAGAAAGAGGGTCTGTCAAGTAGGAGTATTGTCTTTGTCTGAGAAAGTAGTTTTAGCATATCTGGGGTGGCTGAAGCCATACTGCAAAGGGTTAAACAGTGAATGGTGAAAAGGCAGAGACTGCAGAGTAGACAAGTCAAGAAGAATTGAAAGAAAGAAGGCTGGGAGCAGGGAATTTAAAAAAGGATTTTTTTAAAGGAAGAGGCCAACAAAATGTCAAAGGTGGAAAATGGAAGAGACAAAATAATTTACAGGGAGAGTCTAAACATAGTGATAGAGTCATGGACATAAGTGAATGTGGCCACCTCTTACTGAGACATGAACAAAAGGGAAGGAAGAGAAGTTGAGTTCTTATCACAGGACCAATTCTGTAAAAAGAAGGATAGATCCTAAAGCTAAATCCAGAAAACAAAAAATAAACTTGCAGACTGCCAAAGAGCTGGCTGTGCTACAGTCATGACAAAAACTCAGCAGAACCAAGACCCACTTGTAAATGTTTTATCAAACTGGGAAAATTACAAGAAATATGTGATTTATTATTTCTAAGACTGCTTAGATTAGTATTGATATGTACATACTCTCCATATTATCCAAAATCATGCTTCATAACATCAGTTGATTTACATGCTCCTTTGTCCCTGGGAGCCCTAAGGAATAAAGTTTTTCATAAGAAACTTTGAGTGATTTAAGCTTGACTGGCTCTGTGCAATTTTTCATTGCAATTCTGGCTACCATTCTACCATATGCCCCAAATCACAATGCAGTATAAAGTAAAATCAAACAGACCAAGGATTGGTGGGAAGATTCCTAGTCTACAAGTCTGGCTCCATACTTTTAACTGATGGAGACCGAAATGTCTGCACTGGAAATGTTTCTGTGTTTCCACTGATCTATTTTCATGCCATGGTTTCAACAGCTTCAGAAGTTCCAGTAAGAAAAGGCTTCTTCTGGTAAACAGATTCTTTTGAGTTAAAAAAAAAAAAAAGAGGGAAAAGCTTCGTATTTTTCAACAGTCCCCAAAGTTATATTCTTTATCAGGTTTTAAGGTTATGTTCCAAGTCTCCATTCCTCGGTGTGGTTTAGCTTTACAACCAGCTGCCCCCTCTTCACTAGCAGTTTTTGACGTCATCCAGGCTTTGCAAAATGTGTGCTACAGCCCCTACTCGGGCTTTTCAGCTGCTATGAAAGTTATACTGCATTTGGTTAAGTGTGGAGGCTGGCACCAGGGAGGATCCATGATGGTGATTATCATGCAAATCAGCCTCCTGCAAGTCAAGCTCCTCCGAGGAGGCCTTCCAGCTCTGCTTCCCCCAGGGCCGCTCCATTGTCCCCAGCACAAAGCTAACCATCTTGGCTGCCGACACTGGATGCCGCTGAGATTGGTTCTCCTGACAGAGATTAGTGGGCAGCAATGAATCTTTCACTTGGGGTAGAAATATGATTTTATTTAAGAAAATAACCATACATAATTGGGCTTCTGTCACTTTAAATTTTAATGGTGAAAGTAATATGGAGGCTTCTGGAACCTTAAATTACGGCTTTCAGAAGCTTCACACTGAATCTTTCAATTATTCTCTGTAAGTACTTTCTCAAAGCATGTGCCACCATGACATTGATATCACAATTCAAATCTAAATTCAAAACTGACTGCAAGGCTATGAGCTATGTGCTGGCGTGCATGCTGCCTCATTTTATCTTTGAACATCTGACGAGGCGAATCAAGAGGCACTCTCCCGGAGCCCAGCCAGCTGTTTGCCAAATATTCAAATGCTCTGACATGCAGAAGAGCCTTTCAGATTTCCCCACATCAAAATTAGCAACGACCCCCTATTTTTCCCATTAGCTTCTGGCTCACCTACATCCTTTCACGCAGGCCCGCCTGACTCACTCAGCTAAGTGCTTGCTCTTGCTCACCTCTCGGGTTCCCGACTCCAGCAATTGGATCTGGTGTGTGCTGCAGAATGGCAGCCAGTTCAGACAAAACCATGGGGGAGAGTTTTCAAGTCAGTGTTTCCTTGAAGTGGATCTGAAAGAGTGGCTGAGCTGATATTTGCAGTAGTAGGAAGGCAGAGAGCAAAGACAGCATGCAGGTTTTACTTACAATACATTCATTAGGCTGGAGCAAAAAATGGAATTGGAAAGACAATAGCCAGGGGAAAGTGAAAAGGCTTTCCTTTTCCTTTTATTTTGGTGTTAACTTCCTTGTTATATATCCATTTTATCATTTTTAATATTTTTATCTTCATATTAAAACAAGTGGAAAGGAATCTTTTTCATAGGTCTAGCTTTAGACTGCTTCAACTATTTTTAAATGTGTCCCCTACCTCAGTAAACACAGCACCACATTTACAACTGTAAATAACTAATCCAGTTGCACATTGGTTAATCTACAATGAAAAACAACCCTTCTTTCACATTTCAAAGGTCCTGGAACAATTTTCCTCAGCTGGATGACTTAGAACAGAGGCTGTGGACAGCACCTGGGGAGTTTAGAATGGGAAAGGGACTAAGGTGCCAAGTGGTGAAGACAACAGCCCCTACCCCAGCGGCTGGCAAAATTTCCTGAAGCTGGACATCAAAACCCGGGCCAGCTGGGTGAGGGGTTCCTTCATTCCTTCCGGAAAAGCTGGGTCTTTACTTGCTCATTTCCTATGATGTGTTTATACTTGGACAGAAGGGGCACAGCAGGAATGCTTTCAGGGCACATTTAGGGGGAAGCCACTCTCACAGGAATCATGAATGCCAGATGTCAAACAAACCTGTGCTGCTGAGAATTCTCTGAGCAGGATGCAAGGGGCACCACATCACGTCTGAGGAAACTGCTGTCCTGATCCGGGGCCTCTCCTTAGCTACAGGCAAAGGCAGGTAGAAATCCTTTCATTTTAATAATAATAAAAAAGGAAGCTGCTAGTGTGAGCATAAAATTACCTAAGAACTAGATAGGCTGATGGCATTCCAGTTCTGCCAGTAAAGTCTATTCATTCTCTCAATTCAAATCAGCATAAGGCAAGTAACTTGCCTCTGGGAACCATGGGTGGCAGAGGCAGGAGGCCCACACGTGGAATGGCCATAAAACAGACATCAGTCAACAGCCTTACCCCAGCATTATTTCCTGAATACAGACTCAAACATTGCTTTGCACTGAGATCAGGATTATGGTGCCCAAGTAGGCACTCTTGTAAGTCACTGACCATGGACAGAGAAAATTTTAAAAATCCATATTGATTTCCAAGTCCAAAGTAGTACAATTACAAATCTTGTCTAACTTTAACACCGACGGCTTATGGAGTGTTTCAAATACAAAACAGTTCTACATAAATCATTCACTCAAACATTTACCGTGCTCCTATTATATGCCAAGTACTATACTTTCATGAGTCAGCATTGGTTAAATAATAATCTTAATACTACTAGATTTCTCTGCAAAATTTAGCACTGTGGCTCACCCCTCCATCTTAAAGGCCTTCACTTCTGTAAAATTATCGTCTCTTAGGAAGGTCTGCCTCTCAGACTACTCTGTCTTTACTAATTCCTCTTCCATGGTCCTCATTTCATTAAACCCACAAGGATTGAGGAGCAGTATAGCAAAATCACCTGGGGGACATATTTTTCACACTGCACAGATCCCCTCCACTCCCATTTGAGAATCATTACATATGTGAACCCCTCACTATTGCTAGCTGGAGTAAGTTATTTCTCTTAAGAGTCTGGGGATGAAAAAAACAAAAGCTGAAGATCTCTGTACCAAATACTTTCTCTAGATGATATCATCTACTCTCATGACTTCAACTACATGCCAACTACACACTGATGACTTCAAAAATAATAAAGCCCAGACCCACGTCCAAATGCCTAGCACACCTGTTTTCAAATGACCTACCATCACAAACTCTACAAGTACATTATATTATATTTTCTAATATATATAATTTTATAATTTATATCAAATTAAATCATAAATTATATAATTTATATTTTTCTCTCCTTTTTCTTAATAGTATTAGTATTTACTATATGATCAAGGTAACTAGCCATATTTATACTCCTTCTTCTCCTTCACACTTCCCATTCTCACCCCACATAGATCAAATCTGTCACCAGGTCCTTTCTCTTCTTCCTCAAGAACACATTTCAAGTGTATCTACCTACCATTTACTATATCCCACTTGGACCTCTGCATTAGCCTCCTCAATCCTCCCTACCACCAGCCTCTGCACTTCAGACTATTCTCCACATGCTTCTGATTCCTACTGATTAAAGCAGGAAATCCTTGAATGCATTCCTCATAATATACAAGATGATTTCTGATAGCAAACAGACCAACTTCTTAAATATTCATATTTTAATAGGTTTCAAAAAACAGAATTAACACATCAAACTGGGTGTCAAGTTAAAAGTTTGCTTTAAAAATAAATTTCAGTATAAAACTCGGGCAATTTAAAGAAAAATTAATCTATTCAGGTAGTGTGAGATGTTTTAAAAAAGATAAAAGCAGTACATGAATCAATGATGTTGGGAAGCTTGGTACTAGAAAGTAGGTCTAAACTCCTTAATATGGTATCAGATATCTTAAACTCCTTAACATTCTCTCCATTTTTAGCTTCTCCCTCTCCTACATTTCCTGTACGCTACATATAAATTCTGTGTATCAGCTTTGCTGAAAAACAAAACACCCTAAATTTACTAGCTAAAACAACATTTTATTTAGTTCATACGTCTGTGAATGGGCTGGGCAGTTAGTTCCGTCCGAGCTGACACCCCAGAGAGATCAGGGGAAATCTGGGCTGACAAATGATTTCCCCTGGACACTCCCATGTGTTTGTGATCAAATGGTGGATCAGCTGGTAGTAGATGATCTCACTCGCATGTTTAGCAGTTCGATGACTGCTGGCAAGAGCCTCGGTTCTTTTCTGGGTGACCACTCATCCTGCAGCACAATAACCTGGGCTCATTGACAATACAGTCACAGGGTTCCAAGTGCAGAAGCCCCAGTGCATGAGTCTCTGCACTGTTTGCTAATATCCACTGGTCAAAGCAAGTCATATGATCAACCTAGATTCAGTAGAGAAAGAGAGACTCCACCTCTTAATGGATGGATCTGCAATGTCACTTTGCCAGGAGTTAGAAGCAGGAAAGGGAAATTGGTGACTGTTTTTACAATCAACCAACTCTTACCATCCATCAAATATGCCAGGCATATTCACACACATGCTCATGCTGTTCCCATCACTTAAAACGAACTCTCAACTTCCTCCTGTCCTTCTGGGAAATTCTTATTGCTTGTCCTTCAAGGCTCTGATCAAATATAGCATTCCCTGACACCTTCCCTCAAGGCATAATTAATTATTCCCTCATACGTTCCCATGATCCCTTGCATTGCCTCTATTATATCATTCAGTGAATTGTATTATAGTTATTTATAATGTCTTATAAAGTCTCTCTCCTTAAATAGACTGTCTTTGTACCACCAGCATCTAGCACAATGTCTGGCAAAGAACAGGCATTCAATAAACGTTCAATAAATTAAATTAAATTTAAAACAAAGATTAAAGTCTCCCTGGGATATGCCTACATTAAAAAAGATTTAAGGTACAAATACAAAACTGGCCTCATGAGTTAGCAGAACTAATTAGATCCATCTCACCTAATTTTTTTTTTTTTTAAGATAGAGTCTCACTCTGTCACTCTGTCACCCAGGCTGGAGTGCAGTGGTGCCATCTTGGCTCACTGCAACCTCTGTCTCCCAGGTTCAAGGTATTCTTGTGCCTCAGCCTCCTGAGTAGCTGGGATTACAGGCACAAACCACCATGCCCAGCTAATTTTTGTATTTTTAGTAGACATGGGGTTTCACCATGTTGGCCAGGCTGGTCTCAAACTCCTGATCTCAAGTGACCCTTCCACCTTGACCTCCCAAAGTGCTGGAATTACAGGCATCAGCCACCATGCCCGGCCCACCTCATCTCATTTGAAGGGCACCAGGCAGGGCAATGCTCCTTGCCAAAAGCATTTTTTCCTGTGGGACTGGCACAAAGCCTGAACTTCTAGCATAATTTATTCAAGGTCTGAACATGTTTTGATGTAATACAAACAACATAGGCTCTGGAGTCAAAAATACTACTAGGACTCAAAACCTAACTACCTGTGTGATACTGACAATTCATTTTGTGCATATCTCTGCACTACTTTTTTCATCCATACAATTATCTGTGTTGCAGTAACACATGTAAAGCAGCTAGCACAGTACCTGCCATACACCCAACACTCATATCAAATCACAAAGTCTCCTGTTTAAAAAGCAAATGCCCCTGGCAGGGGGTAACCACAAGCCCTTTTTATTGCCATCTGAGAAGAGTGGGAAAAAGGTAAAAGGAAGAAGAGTGGGAAAGTAAAGAGTGGCAGATAAACAACTTCGCAGTTTTACTGAGAGCTGGGCTTGTGGCTAGTGATGAAAGTTACATCAGTTTTTAGAGATCCAACCAAGTAATAAAAGTTCCCCCCCTCCCGCCAAGGCATATAATGACCATTTCTGGTAGTACAGGACTTGGGAACTGCATAATTTAGGACTTTGGGACTTGCATAATTTTTCTGGGCATCGATATGGAATCACCATTTATAAGTATACCTAGACAAGACTACTGAAGAGTTAGTTAAGGAAGAAACAGTTATTTAAATGTTACTCTGATCTTTTTCATGTATAATCTCTTGCCCTTGTCCTTCATTTAAAAGGGGCAACTGTAATGGTAGTAAACAAATTTCCTCCTTACCTAAGGATACAATTTTTTTAAGTGAAAAAAATTTAAAGAACACTACAAAACACACAATTATAAACTTTATATCGCTTCTAAAGGAAATATTGCCATTGAAATCAAAATAAAATGAGTTTTAGACACACTTATATCCTGTTTCAAAGTAAAGCCAAGTTTTAATAAAATGTTTAATTTTCCAAAATCCAAGCAAGAACTCCTATGAGAAGTCCCTACAGTTGTCCCTCCTGAGGCTGTTCTCACATCTCAGTGACAACCCTGAAACACTTCTGCACTTCGGGAGCACTAAACCAATCTACTTTTGTTGACATCTAACCCTGTAAATGAAACTCCACTGTTACCCATGATCTTTCACCCCAGCTACATTGTAAACTTCCTGTTACCCAAGATTCTGTTTTCTGTATTTTCCTAGTCCACCTGTCCCTACTCTCAGCACCCAGATTTGTACTCAATAATTGTTAATTCATGGCTGACAAGGAAATGTATAAATACCACTTGCTGACAGTAAATTCTTTGGTCTGTTCAAGTTCAGACCAAGACCTCTAGAGATCCTAAAGACTGAAATGACTATGGTGCCCCACATTCACATGTAAATTAAAAAAATACTAAACCATAAAGGACAAAATGTACACGTATGTTTTTAAATTAAAATAGTTTCTGATGGCAAAATTCTAGGTAAGTTCATCAAAGGCTGAACTCTTCTTCATTCTTTTCCCTCCCCATTATGAGAGCATACATGTGTATGTGAAAGAGAGAGAAAGAGAGAGAGAGAGAGGTGAGGGGAGAGGGAGCGAGGGAGGATGAATCTGTCTGTGACTTCCAGCACTGTCTGCTATAGGGTAGTCCAATTCTGGGTCCACTTCATAAACTATATCAAAATGCTAAATATAGTTATGGATGCTATACAGTATAGAATGAGCAATCAAATAATTGCCTAAATCCATATTCATATTTGCTGTTCTCTTGTTAAGTATCCAAATTCTATTTCAGGTTTGTAGTAAGAGAGCTTAACATAATATAAATAGAAGCAATGTAATATATTATTTCACCTGCTCTTACAATTGTATTGTGGTTGTGTGTGGAAAAGGAGGTACAGCAAATGATTGTCAGCAAATCACTCACAAAAATGTGAGAACTTCAAGTTCTTTGCACTTTATTTCATTAGACACCAATATTTGATAAAAGCAACAAGCACCAAATTATATTAATATAAACCTTCCATAAATAATGTTCACAGCAGTCACAAAGTTTAAAATACAGATGCTAATTACAGTGCCAAATCAAAACTACAATATTTCAATTAAAACTATTTTCACTTGTAATGTGATTATCTTATTCATAGTAACAGGTATTAATATTTCTATTAAACCTGAATAGGTTGTGCTTAGCCATAATTGTTCCAATGGATCTGTTTCCAGTTTTGTATTTTAAAATCCAAGTGTATTCCATAGAGTTAAATAGTTTATTCTGATGTACCCAGGTAGACTTTTGTCTTATAATAGAAAATGTTTGGATATCTAGGGAAATGGCATCAGAAAAATCAGGAAATGCTTGTGATTGTACAGGTACTTCACTTCTGATTATATAAGTACTTTAAAAACAGTAAAAATTTTAAACCCTATACTTGCATTGAAGTACAGCTAGAATGCAAATTTAGTAATAAAACTGAATAATTTAGTAGCTTGTTTTGTGATCAGATCTGATTGGTACTCTCTAAGACGTATCCAATTTTTAAAAATTCTCTCTGTGGCTTTGAACTGGGGTGGATGCATATTATGTCCATTAAATTGGAAGCCAAGGGTTACTTGAACAAATAATATTATGGCTTTGTAGAATGACTAATGGTCTTTGCAAAGGCCCAGACTGGCTTCATCTTTCTTAAGATTTTATCACTGATTTGTTCTTAGTCATGTGCAGTCACTAAAGGCAGCAGAGGCAACAAGTGTTTGATGTATGATACTTGAGCCACTTTTGTCAGAGCTGCATTTATTTTTATGCTATACTCATTCTTGGTACTCTTATATGTATGTGGTTCTTTTACTTTATTTTTTTTCTTGTTTCCAGTGATGGGTCAAACAGATACAGCAATTATAATAACACTAACCTCTAAAACTCTACGAAATAACAAATATCTACTTCCTTGCAAGGGATGACTTTACATTGCAGATTAAATAAATGACCACAGAAGCAAGCATCCTAATATAAGAGTTTAACTCTTTGTTCACTGCCATATTTGCACAGCTTACAAAATATCCCTTACCTTTTAGCATATATTATCAATTTCAATTCAATCCATCCTGTGACAATCTGCAGCAAGTCACAGAAGTGCTCTTCTAGTTGAAAGGAAATTTCAAGGGAGGAGGGATGTGGAAAAACACATTTAATTTATTCTATTGAAAGGGGACATTCTAAATGGTTTCTGAGCTCTTTTGCATCTTCTTACACACTGCAAATCAGCTCAGATATCTTAATCAGTGGCTATAAACATATCCTTATCAGTAACATATTCATGAAAGATGGTATGTGTATGAGCTGCAAAATGTTTGGCAGAGACCCAAGAATACAAAAGAAAGAATATGGTAAAGAATTGATGGAATATCTTTGTGTTTCAACCCTATTCATTCTGGGAATTTTCTATCATCTCTGTTCCATTTGGAAGGATAATAGACAAACCAACAGAATGTCAGGTTTCTGTGACTTGGTTTCATCTATATACAGTTACACATATTGTACAATGATCCAGGATGGAAGCATATCTGTACACAATGATGAATATAAGTACATAATATATACCTTCTTGTGTCTCTAAATTTTTCTATTCATGTTATTATCTTATGCAGAGTTTAGTGCTTTTCTGTTTTGACAATCTAAGCACTGTCTAAACATTGTTTCATGAAATCAAGAGTAGTCCTCGACAATTAATTTTTGCAGTCAATGGTCTTCTCAAAATGGGCAACTCCCCTTGGAACTTAGGAGCCACAATAGCAGACTGTGTGAGTGAGGGAGTGAGACAATTCATTAGTCGATTCTGCAGCAACTCAAAGTGGCGGGGGATGTCAGCCCCTGCTCTGGTGCTTCAATACTAATGAGAGTTATTGCATATTCATAACCCCAAATACAGTCAGCTTCTTGTAAAAACTTTTGTCACCCAGGCTTCATGGCAAGAGCGAAGCACTGCACTCTTCGTGTCGTGGCACTTCCGCCAAGTGAGAGTGAGAGCAAGATTGATTGCTTTGCAACGCTGCCTGACGGGGAACTAAAAGATGCTGCCCCAAGGGTCCTAAAACTGCTTAGTTTGATTGCAAAGCTCCAAATAATCAAAGAAACAAAAAGGAGGCATTGGTGGTGAATGTGTATGTCGATATATACATATACACCATTAAAAATATATCAAAAAATACTCCAAACAAGAAATTTGGCTTATTCAGTATTCAGAGTAATTATCTGTTAGGAATGTAAAATTCTCACATCAATTCTTATTATGCCGAAAGAAGAATGGTGTGGCCCAGTAAACTTGTTCTCATGTTGCAGAAATGCCATGCATATCTTAATAGAAACAGGTTTCTAAAACTGTCTGAAGTTTCCCGTCATTATCAATACCAAAGCTTAGTGAACTGAACCTGTCAGTTCTGCCAAATCTAGAGCTACCTGGAATCCAATTCCTCAGGAGCCTTTTTGTGTTGTCACTGTCTCCCTTGCTTTATCATCATCATCATCATCATCATCATCATCATGGTGAGTGTCCAGAAATGAGCCATCCAGTGTGCCTGCCAGGAAATCCTAAGGGGTCAGCACTATACCATCTGACCCCAAAATACCTCTGTTTGGGGTAGCTACCAGCATCCCCTGGAGTCAGAGAAGGGAAATGTATGTTTCAGCACCCACTTTGAAAAAGCCTTGAGCATTTTTTCACTCGTAATGATGTCTTCAGCTGGAATGCCAGCACAGTTACACATTTTTCTGACAGCCATACAGGCTATAAACTACCCATAAAAATTAAATAAAACAGGACAGTGAAAGAAAACTTTCTAAATTTGATCACACTTGAGTTGTTAAAAGTTATTTCCAGATGCATAATGTGTATAAATATCTGCATAGCTAAAGACAAATCAGGACTACTGAGATGATGGTGGGGGGGAGATGATGAGGTGTTGTGGGGGATGGGTCTCACCAAACTGTTTTATATCTTAGTCACAGACACACAAGCTTTGAAAATAGACGGATTTGTGTTTATGATTGATTGAGGTAACTGATTATCCACAGATATTTTAAGTGTTGAGACATTAAATTGTCAGCTCTATCAGTTTGATTGCAGTAAAACATGAAAACATTGACTTTTGTCTAGTTAGAGAAATTTATTTTTCCCAGAATGACAATCCTTTAAGTAGACACCAGGCAGCTTGCCAGATTTCCATGTCATACACTGAAGTTTGCAAATGCAACCCATATTTTCAAGTGTTTTTCAAGGTGCAATGAATGGTGCATAGGTCTTTTGCAAATAGTCTTGTAATAAACAGAATCCTGCAGTATGTTTCATTCCGTAAACCCAAGAAAAGTATTTACTCATTTTGAAGACGAAAAACACATTGTAGCTTTGTATTCATGGAGTACATGTTACCAGTGCTCTTCACTTACTTAAAGTATCTCTCAAAAATAAAATAACCCTCTTTGGACCACCACACTGTAAATGAGTTTGATTAATATGTTTTATAAGCCTGAAATAAATGCTCATCATAACTGTCAGTGAGCTGACAGCTTTCAAAAGTCTTTGTTCCCAGAATGAGTAATTTTTCTGATCTTCTTTAAAATACCGGTCTAAAAGGAAGATGTTAAAATCAAGTACATTCTACCAAAATTTGATTGCTGTTAAAGCAGCCTTGTATTCTGACTCCCTGCATAGACTATATGCATGTATACTACTTGACAAAATAAAAATACCACATCTTATTTATTATTATTGCTTGTCAGAACACCTGTGCTTTTCATTGGGCAGAACTGTGGTTCAGTGTTTAAGACCTAGTCCATTATAAGAATAAAAAATGTCAGATGTTATATATAGTCAATTCTTTTAGTAAAAATTGACCAGGAAATCATCACTAGACCCGATGATTTCAATGAAAACACCAGTCAAAAATCAGATGTGGTCATTAATTCTACTGAAACACCAACATCTCTATATTTGCTGCATATTTTCCAAGTACTTACCATGATCATTAAAATACAGAATGTTCCAAAGACCAGGGGACACCATTGAGCCCTCCATGTCTGAATTCTGCAGACAGCAGTAGATAATACCTGATGCTAGGAAAGGAACACATAGAGGGTACCTAAGTAGCTGAGCAAGGCTACACCAACTAGAACAACAAACACTTCTTCCTGACTCCTTTAGCCAATCACTTGTGTCCTGGAGCATTGGGTTTGGTTACCCTTCTTACCATATCTCAGAGAGTAAAATAACTATTTTAAATGGTCATTAAATTATCCATTCCCCTATTTCTCCATTCCAACTACTGCTGATGCGTCATAGCTGTTCCCTGGCAGAACTTCACAAAGCACCCTGCCTGTACGCTGCCTACAATTATAGCTTCTTTTGTCAGCATGTTTTCCTCCTTAATTCGGTACTACCTGCTCTCATACCATGCCCACAAAGGTTGAAGTTACAGATTTTCCCATATCTTTTTGTGTAATTTCTATTTTTCCTAATCTTTAAGAAAGGCTTATTTTATAACAGTATATCACATTTGTCCATTAGAAGTCATTTTTCATTTTATTATTTTCCAAATAGCCAAGAAACCACAGGTTTTATACATGCTATCACTGGCACATTGTGAGCATTACTGCTCTTCTTGTTCATTTTGATATATGCATTATTCAACTTTTAGTAAAGTATATTTTCATGCTTCTCCTATGCCATGACCACCCCTTATAATTTCTGATACATTGTGGCAGTTTTGAAAACAAAGTTCTCTCGTATCTTATAGACTAATTTCCCCACTTTTGTTATACCTTATCTCTTAGTGAGATATAAAGTTTTAGTATTTCGCACATGAATTAGGTCAAAAGATAATTTATTTTCTTCTTCGTTGTTGGGTTTTCTCCTTTAAGGAAACTAGAATTCCCTTGTAGCCAGCCTAAAACAATCTATATGCTATTTACATGCCCATGATAATCCCATAATTCCAGTAGTTCCACATTGTTTTCTAGACCTTCAAATTCTGTTCTTCTCAAAGTACTACACTGACTGGAGATTATGTTGTTAACTCTAAGAAACAAAGAAATGATACCTGGCTCAGGCAGGGTTCCTCTCTTTTGACGTAATGAATGCTATCTCCAAGTACAGTCATACATTGCTTAACAACAGGGATATGTTCTGAGAAATGCATTGTCAGGCAATTTCATCATTATGTGAACATCACAGGATGGACTTATACAAACCTATGACATTATGTAGCACATGACTGTATAGAGATGGTACTGACTCAGTACAAGTGTTAAAGTGGCCTGAAGTAGGATGCTTTTGACATTGCTCAATGCTTTTGACTGCTTCCTTGTCTATTCTGAATCATTTTTTATCTGTCCTCTAGTTTTAAAAGTCACTATGACCTTGTCATTTAGTGAGAGGAGCCATCCTTAACTATGATTATAAACTTAAATAATTATGCTGATCAGAATTTCCACACTTCACTCCTTCCTATGCCTCATTTCAGTTGCACGTATTTACTTTTACCAAAAGTAAAATTTATTGCCTCTACTTGAATTTCTTCCTAATGACCTACACGCAGCCTCCCTCACAATTCCCAGAGCCCTCAGGCCAAGTGTAGACTTTGCCTTATTTTTTTTCCATATGCTCTTTTTTTCCCATATGCTCTTTTTTTAGCGTCTATCAATATTTACCAATAATATCTGCACATTAGCAATATTTAAAAGGACAAGTAGTCTCTTCTTACAGCTAATGAAACATTAGTGTGTCCTTTCTTATTACCTATAAAACTATTGGCTTTTGCCTTTTTTTCATTGCTAGAAGGGATGATCAGTTTAGTGCAGTGATCTTCAAATTATATTCAGGGGTGCCTCAGGGTCCTTCTTAGAAGAAAATGGATGAAGTGGGGCACCAAACAGAAGGAGAGTTCCAGGCCCAATTCATCCAGCCCACTATCACTTTTTGTTTTCAACTTTTTATTTTCAAATAATTTTAAACTTACAGAAGAGTTTCAGGCATCGTATAAAGAACTCCTGTTTGTGTTTGACCCACATTGTTAACATTTTGCCACAATTGCTGTATCATTCTTTCTTGCCCTTCCCCTTCCCCCTCTCTTCTCTATGTATAACTTTTTTCTCTAAATTGTTTGAAAGTAAATTGCAGATACCATGTTTCATTACCTGTAAGCAGTTCTGTGTGACTTTCCCAAGAAAAAAGATATTCACTTACAGGGTCAAACTACAATAATCAAAATCAGGAAATTTAATATTGACATAATGCTATTATCTAATGTAATATGTAGAACTTATTTGAATTTTTCCAATTGTCCCCAAAATGTGCTGTATGGCAATTTTTGTTTTTCTGGTCCAGAATCATCCTTTCATTGTCTTTCACAACATTGACCTTTGTAAATAGTACATGCAATTTCCTTTGTAAAAATCCCCCAATTTGGGCTTGTCTAATTTTTTTTATAATTAGATTTAGGTTACATATTTTGGACAGCAATATTATATAAATGATGTTGTGTTCTTCTCAGTGAATCACATCAGGAAGTACATGATATTGGTTTGTCCAATTATTGGCAATGTTAATTCTGATTACTTAAGTTGTTAAGGTGGTATCTACCTGGTTACTCCACTATAAAGTTCTTTGTAATTAAAACCTATTTTATGCTTTGTAAGTAAAAAGTAACTTACGGGTAGATGCTTTTTAAGATCTTGTAAATATGCTGGTCCTCATCAGATTCTCATTCACTGGTTTAGCATCCACTGATAATTTGTTTAATTGCTATAGTGGTTGCAAAATGGTGATTTTCTAATATTATCATTCCTCCTACATTTATCAGTTAGTATCCTACTCCCTTGTTTGTTTAAGTGTGAACTCATGATTTTTTTATTTTTATTTAATGGGTTGAAATCATTATTCTCATTATTTTGAAACTCAAATTGTCTGAGTTTGGCCAGTGAGAAGCCCTTTGATCTATCAGACTTCCATGGTTTTCTGACATGTCCCATCATAATTGGAGCTGTATTATCACTTTATTTGTTTTCTGATTTATTTCCAAGCAATGCTTTTAAAAGTTTAAAATAGATTGTTCCACTATAACACTTTTTCCCCAATTTGCCTCATTTCAAGTTTGTATAAATAGTACCTAGAAAATAGAGAAGACAATAAATGATAGTAGCCCCTTTGCTTCTGTGGCCACTTGGTCACCACACTGTTCCTGCAAACTACTGGGTATGCTCCTGCAGTAGGGCTTGGCACCCACCATACCCTCTGCCTGGAATGCCCCTCCTGATGCCCCATCAGGGCTCGCTCCCCCATTTCCTTCAAGTCATAGTTCTATCATCCTCTTCTCAGGTAGGCCTTCTTTGACTACTTTATTGTAGTAAAACTCCTTTGATGATAACCCCTTCATTTCCAAGGTTTCATCCCAAAGCAAGACAATTGGTTTAACCCATCAATGGTTAAGTCACAAACATGGCATTAACCTTTGTTGGATTATTTTACCATAGTGGATTGACAAACTCCATAAAGTGCCTACTGGTACACACACAGTCCTTCTGGGTCATGAAAACAAAGTAGATGTTACCCACCCTACTGCTTCTGTCTTCTTTATTCAATACTATTCCCCATAACACATCCACTTCTGTATCACTTTATTATAGAATTAATCTAATGTTTAAAGCTGTTTGTATCAATAAATATGAAATCAAATAAAAGCATCAACAAACAAGGATCAAGTAGAACTATTTGTCTTTTCCTACAGAACATTCTCTAAAAGAAAATCTGTTTAAATTGTAACACTCACCATTTGCTTTTCCCAAGTGTTTTAAAAAACAAACAGAAAACCCTCAACAAACAATCACAGATAATAATCAACATCAAAGAGATACCCACAGGCTTTACAAATAGTCAAGTGCTTTCACTTAGTCATTCAACACAGAAACTCACTTTTCCCTGAGAACATTCCCTCAACATACAATTCAAAGTGACTGCATTTCACCAATTAGAATTAAAGGTATCCCCACCAAAATGCATAGCAAGTTCCATGACTTACTGAGTTTACCCA
Organism: Homo sapiens; assembly: GCF_000001405.40. Taxonomy (NCBI): domain Eukaryota; kingdom Metazoa; phylum Chordata; class Mammalia; order Primates; family Hominidae; genus Homo; species Homo sapiens. The sequence goes on from NC_000005.10 coordinate 93,436,432, forward strand.
AAGCAAACTCAGTAAGCTATTACCATGTATTGCCAGTTTCTTAGGTCTTCTTAAGTTTCTCAAATGACTTACCTAGTCTTTTTCTAAAACCACTAACATATTTCAGACATTCAAAAGTATATTATTTCCAACTGCTGTATTGAGGGCACTAGGATGGCTGACTTTTCCCATCAATGTCTGTTTTTCATTAAATTACTTAACAGAAATCTTTTAGGTTTTTGAGATGCTTCTGTACTATAAAGCCAATACATTTGTCAACATGGTAAATAAGTTCACAAATGTGAACATTTGTTCACAAGCCACAAAATTATGAGGCACCTCATTATATAAAATAATGGAACAAATTCTACCAACACGTAATATATTCCCAAGGGTAAAGGATGAACATTAATTATAATTTAAATCACCTGACTACCTGGTCCACTTAGTGAAATCCTGGAGAGGTTTACACTCAAGGACCTAATGATACAACCTACAGCCCTAATTTACCTTCCAAGATGCCTATATTAGACACAGTAATACCTAGCTGATTTTAAGTGAAACTCATTATCTCCAAAAAAAAAAAAAAATTAAATACCATGTAAATTCACTGACCATTTGTTTTTTCATTATAATGTTAGCTATTCTTGGTATTCAATTGTTTAAGATAAAAAACATACCACAGTATTTAGTCCTCTAACATACAAAGAAAAACTATATTCATCATACATGATAAAATATAACTTCTTGTTCTTGAGGTCTAGAATTGCACTGTCCAAAATAGTAGTCAATAGCTACACATAGCTATTGAGCACTTGCAATGTGTCAAGTCCAAATTGAGATAAGCCGTAAATGTAAGATACACACCGGATTTCAAAGATTTAGCATGAAAAAAATGTAAAATATCTCACTAATAATTTTATGTTGATTACATGTTGAAACAATATTTCGATATATTGGGTTAAAGTATATTATAAAAATTAATTTCACTTGCTTCCTTTTAGGTTTTTTAATGTGGCTACTAGAAATTTTTAAATTATGTATGTGGCTCACATTTGATGTTTGCATTTATCTTATTTCTATTGAAGAGGGCTGGTCTGGACTAAAAGCAGGCAAAAGTCACAGTTATAAGGCCAGTTCCATAGTGTGTTATAAATATACTGCCACCACACAACTCTCTCATTTTCTGAGATTGTTAGCAGATCATCAAACCTCAAAAGCAGCAGAGGACTAAGCCTAGGTGAATTCAGTTTGTGATGAATAAAATTATAAATTTTACACATATTAAGATTCTATCATGATGTTTAATTAGGCAACACAGTAACCACCTGCTGTAACTATCTTACAAGCAACTATCACGTTATTAACATAGCCAAAGTTTATATATTTTATTGTTTTATTATCTCATTTCTATAAACACTATACCAAATATTCCTTCAAAACAGCTTATTATCTACTGAATACCTTTATTTAGATATCATGGGCATTTCAAATTCATTATGTCCAAAATGGAAAGCATTCTCTTACTGTTGAAAGGTAATTGTCCATGGTGTTTTTATTTGTCTCTGAGTAAAGACAGGATATGCTTCTGGGTTAGAGGGTACATTTGTTTCCTGACCAGCATAACAAAGATAATGTCAACCTCCAGGACAATGATTTTGGGCAAGTTTGCAAGTAGCCTCTTATAAGATTGGGAGGACACAGGTCCACCGTGTACACAGCATCTGTCTGGGCCTCACTCTGTATCATGGGATTTGGGGAATTCATAGATGCATGAAGATCATGCTGCCTACTTTGCTTTGAGTAATAAACTGTCTAAATCTATCTAGGCTCATTGTCTCCTTTTCAACGGAATCTACAGAAGTGTGGTGAGCCAGCCCAGCAGCTGACTGCTGCTTGAAACTGCTTGATATTTACTTTCCCTTTTACTTTCTCAATCTTCGTACAAGCATCACTATATACCCACTGCCCAAGTCAGAAACCTGACCATCAATCTTGACTCCTGCCTCTCATTCACCAGGCCCACCATATCCAGTCAACTGCCAAGTCCTAGTCATTCTATCTGCTTAATTTCTCTCAAACTATCTATTTATCTCCATCCCCACTACTTTAACCCTAGTTCAGGTCATTATCCTCTCTTACGTAGATGCTTAATTTGTGCCACTAAACCAGTGTTACCCCACTTCACTCTATTCTCCATACTGCAGCTGGAATGATCTGATTTGTCATTTCTTTGACAGGATAAAGTCCAAGCTTCTTAGGATGACAAAGTATTTCAAAGCCAGGACTTACATAGAATGTTTCTTGGAATTCCATTTGCGACTGTTTCACCTGAGGGGGAAAGGAGGTGGAAGAGGAGAAAACAAGAGATTAGTCCCACTTCTAACATAAAAGACTTGGGAGAAAAAGGATAAGCTGGGTGCTATGGCCTAGAAGGAGCACTCTAAGAGAGCTGAACCTTAGTGGAACTGCCAGAGTTCCTTTCTTCCTTATTCATAAAAAGATTTGATGGTTATTATGTAAGGTGATGAATATGTAAACTACCTCAATTGTAATAATCATTCCACAATGTAAACATATATCAAAGCATCATGTTGTATACCTTAAATATATACAATTTTTATTTGTCAATTATACCTCAGTAAAGCAGGGAAAAAAGATTTGAATCTGACTAAACTCAATGACTTCCTCTGTTAGAACTGGTAACCAAAAATTGACCTAACATAGCCAAGAAGGACCATTATTACTTTACTCACTGCCAGCCACATTTATTCTGATGAAGAGAATGTGCCATCTGTAAGCAATATTACTTTCTTGTTATTAGATTTTTGAATGGACAATTAGTGCCACATCTTTTCCTTTTAGTTCATGGCACCCAATAAAAAGGCTTTTTTCTTTTTTTTGAGACGGAGTCTCGCTGTCACCCAGGCTGGAGTGGAGTGGCGCGATCTCGGCTCACTGCAGGCTCCGCCCCCCGGGGTTCACGCCATTCTCCTGCCTCAGCCTCCCAAGTAGCTGGGACTACAGGTGCCCGCTACCTCGCCCGGCTAATTTTTTGTATTTTTAGTAGAGACGGGGTTTCACTGTGTTAGCCAGGATGGTCTCGATCTCCTGACCTCGTGATCCACCCGCCTCGGCCTCCCAAAGTGCTGGGATTACAGGCGTGAGCCACTGCGCCCGGCCAAGGCTTTTCTTTTAAAATGTCTGATGTTAAAAAATGCTCAAATCAGTTGAATCATGTAGATGGAATGGGGAAAGTTCAGACCAAGCCTCCATCCTCATCTCTCATCCATGATGTTTTCTCTGCCTTGAACAGATTTTCTTGGCTTTTTGTCTGATTAAGCCCCTCTTCATTACTTAGCTTAAATTTTATCTCCTCCAGGAAGGCTCCTCTGACTCTCAAAGTAGCATTGGATGTCTTTCCTATGAATTCTCTTAGCATTTAATACTTGCTCATCATGTTTCAGCATTTAGTACACAGTATTTAAATGATATATTTGCTTATCTCCCCAACTAGACAGTAACCTCCTTGAAGACAATGTGTCTAACTCATTATTTTATCCCCAGTGGTAGCATCATGCCTAGCACATAATAGACACCCAATCAGTAATTATTCATTATAAACAGATAAATAATCAGATAAGTCTTTGGAAAGTAAAAAAGGGAATTACAATCTTTTTAAAAAGGAGGAGAAGGAAAGTTTAGGCTGTGGAGTTTTTCTTATCTCCACCCACATTCTCTCTCTCCCTCAATCCTCTTTCTCTCGCTCGCTCTCTCTCTCTGTCTCTCTCTCTCTCTCTCTCTCTCTCACACACACACACACACAGAGAAAGTTAATTTTATGTATCAACTTGACTGGGCCATGGGGTGCCCAGAAACTTGATTAAACATTGTTACTGGGTATGTCTCCAAGGATATTTCTAGATGAGATTAACTTTTGAATCAGTAGACTGAGTAAAGCAGATTGGTCTCTCCAATGTGGATGGGCGTTGAGCAACCCATTGAAGGCCTGAATAGAATTAAAGACTGAGTAAGAAGGAATTCTTTCTCTCTACTTGTCTTCAAACTAGGACACTGGTTTCTCCCGCCTTCAGACTTGTACAAGACTGGAACTTACACTATTGGCTCTCTTGGTTCTCAGACCTTCAGACTCCAGCTGGAACTATACCACGAGCTCTCCCTAGTCTGGGTTTCTCAGACTCCACAATCAAGTAAGCCAGTTTTTTATAGTAAATCTCTCACTCACTCACTCACTCTGTTTCTGAAGATATCTACATCTTATTGGTTCTGTTTTTCTGAAGCACTTTAATACACACACTGACATGCCATGTCACTGATGTTTTCCCTAATTTCAACAGCCTTCCTAGTCCTAGGTTTGCAGTTTCAGCACTACCAGCTTTCATGAGGAAAAATAAATGCATTTTTTCAAATATATTCTTTTTATCTCATCTAAGCCTCCAAACATTTCTTACAACTGGAAAGGCCTGTATACAGCAACAATGTAGATCATCTTACTTTACTCCTTTACTCCAAAAACCCAATAGGAAAATGTGTCTTAAACTTCCAAAATACAAATACTAGACCATTTATTAACTATATGCTGCTAATATTCACCTTCTTACATTTTTACTAAACCTAATATTTCTTCACCTTTGAAAACTTTAGAGATAACATAAAGTATTGTGATTATAGAAATTAATCATCTTTTTCATGTAAGGCAGAGTTGAATGTAATCTCTACATAAATCAAGTTTGTTTCCAGGCCAGAAGAACGAAGATGGTGAAGATAGGATGACAGCTAAACTGGACAACTTGTTCATTAACTTTTTAGCATCAAAGACCTTTATCTTTGCCCACTATCCTTTCCAAAGACCTGAGGTACTTCTGGCCTCTGGTTCTGAATTTTGGAAAGAGAAGCTTAGAATGCTGCTAAGCTTTCTTCCAATACCTTACCTAGAGTGATCAACATAGCACCTCAAAAAAGTCAAAGAAGAGAGACCTTCAAGTCAACTGATGTACCATGGCAGGTTTCAAGAATGTCTGTGATCCCAACAGTGCAAACAGCTGAGGGAAATTCTGGTGGCCTGGAGGTCATTAGTCGGTTGCCCCCAGTTTAAATTGTCAGAGTTTTCTTTGGCCACTATCTGAAATGAAATGATTTCAGAAAGATCAAGGTAGCTCAACTTTATAACCAAGTTCTTTTAGATATGGAAAACAAAGTTCTTAAACTTGTAGAGCATTCTACTTCAGAGTAAGAATAAGTATAACATCACTGTGGAGATAAATCCATGTTCTAGGAATGACTCTGCAACTTTAAAGCTTCCTGAGCCTTGGCTTCCTCTTTGTCATAAAAATTAGTTAAAAAACAATCCAATGTGCCTGTAACATTATATACCATGTGTAGATGCTCAACAGAAGGCAGTCATAATTTTGTAAGATTCTCCCTAAGAAGTTAGCAAAGTACAGCCTGCAGGGCAAACTACTCAATGCCTGTTTTTGTAAATAAAGTTTCATTGGAATACAGCACACTTATGACTACTTCTGTGGTACAATGACAGAGCTGAGTAGGAGAAAGAGTAATGACAGTTATAACAGAGACTGCATGACCCACAAAACCTAAAATATTTACTCTCTGGCCCTTTATAGAAAATGCTTGCTAGCTGGGGGTTCCAAGATGGCCAAATAGGAACAGCTCCAGTCTACAGCTCCCAGCGTGAGCAACACAAAAGATGGGTGACTTCTGCATTTCCAACTGAGGTGCCAGGTTCATCTCACTGGGGCTTGTCGGACAGTGGGTGCAGCCCACAGAGTGTGAGCTGAAGCAGGGCGGGGCATCACCTCACCCAGGAAGCGCAAGGGGTTGGGCAATTCCCTTTCCTAGCCAAGGGAAGCCATGACAGACGGTACCTGGAAAATCGGGACACCCTCACCCTAATACTGTGCTTTTCCAATGGTCTTAGCAAATGGCACACCAGGAGATTATATCCTGCACCTGGCTCGGAGGGTCCCACGCCCATGGAGCCTTGCTGACTGCTAGCACAGCAGTCTGAGATCAAACTGCAAGGCAGCAGTGAGGCTGGGGGAGGGGCACCCGACATTGCTGAGGCTTGAGTAGGTAAACAAAGTGGCTGGGAAGCTCAAACTGGGTGGAGCCCACCACAGCTCAAGGAGGCCTGCCTGCCTATGTAGACTCCACCTCTGGGGGTAGGGCATAGCTGAATAAAAGGCAGCAGAAACTTGTGTACACTTAAACGTCCCTGTCTGACAGATTTGAAGAGAGCAGTGCTTCTCCCAGCACAGAGTTTGAGATCTGAGAATGGACAGACTGCCTCCTGAAGTGGGTCCCTGACCCCTGAGTAGCCTAACTGGGAGACACCTCCCAGTAGGGGCCGACTGACACCTCATACAGCCAGATGCCCCTCTGAGACAAAGCTTCCAGAGGAAGGATCAGGCAGCAACATTTGCCGTTTTGCAATATTTGCTGCTCTGCAGCCTCTGCTGGTGATACCCAGGCAAACAGGGTCTGGAGTGGACCTCCAGCAAACTCCAACAGACCTGCAGCTGAGGGTCCTCACTGTTAGAAGGAAAACTAACAAACAGAAAGGACGTCCACACCAAAACCCCATCTGTACATCACCATCATCAAAGACCAAAGGTAGATAAAACCACAAAGATGAGGAGAAACCAGAGCAGAAAAGCTGAAAATTCTAAAAATCAGAGTGCCTCTTCTC